>NT_187674.1:0-198005 GCF_000001405.40 Homo sapiens
ACGGTGGTCCTCGGGATTCTGCTGCTTTAGGATTGGCACAGCTAGAGAAGTCCCCAAGATGCAGCAAGGAGGTAAATACATGAGAGAACAATGCACCCTTCAGAGTGCCAGAGCCTTGGCAATGAGTCTGATAGTCCTAGGAGGTTCTGGAAGAAAGTCTGGACCATCATTCGGGAAACCGTCTACTGAGAAAGTCGAGAAGGGGAGGCTTGGGTCAGGTTCAGGGAGATGTCTGGGTGCCTGTAGAGAACGCTTCCTCCATTAAACTTCCATTAAATGGCAGTGCTTTCAGTCCTGCTGTTGTGGATCCTCCGTGTCTGCCCCTCCCTTCCTTTCGCTCTCTGTGATGTGAAGGCACGTCCCCCATGGTGGGTTTGCATCCACACCCCTGCGATCACGTGCTCTGGTCCACTGTCCTGTAATACATTTGTCTTTGTTTCCAACTACCGCATTCTCTAAAGTGAACTATTGATTCTCCATCTTTTCAGTTCTGAGCATAGATCTGGATTAAATAACTGGAATAGGTGGGCAGATTTGTATTTGGGACTTTGAAACATGAGTCTGAGGCCAGGCACAGTGGCTCACACCTGTAATCCCAGCACTTTGGGAGGCTGAGGTGGGCGGATCACTTGAGGTCAGAAGTTCGAGACCAACCTGGCCAACATGGTGAAACCCTGTCTCTACTAAAAGATACAAAAATTAGCTGGGTGTGGCAGTGAGCACCTGTAATCCCAGCTGCTCAGGAAGCTGAGGTGGGAGAATAGCTTGAACCCGGGAGGCGGAGGTTGCAGTGAGCCAAGATCTTGCCACTGCACTCCAGCCTGGGCAACAGAGCAAGACTCTATCTCCAAAAAAAAAAAAAAAAAGGGAAATATGAGTCTGAAATGATGCCCTAGCACCCTCTCTGGACCCTGAATTCCCTTCACTCTTCATCGGATGATACCTGTGTACTTCGTCCAGAAATATCATCTCTCAGAATGAGCACACTAACGCTCGAAGGCTCAGCCTCATGGTATTCTGTTAAACTGGCTCTCTGAAAAAATTATTTTCTTAAGAAAACTCTGAACATATAAAGCCCCAGATTTATGGTATTTGCTGATTAGTGTGGTATAAATACGTCCTTTATGGCCAACTTCAGGGTGCCCATATGACGCCATTGAATGCACAGTTGGGAAGTAGTCAAAAGAATTGTCGTTCACACGAGTATGAACCAGTTGTAAAGTTTATTTAAAGGTTATAATAATTTCTGCTTCATTCTTATGGTGTAGTTTCAGTAAAATTGTAATGTCAAAAATCATAGCACAATGGAGGGAAAAGAAAAAAATAGGCCGGGTGTGGTGGCTCATGCCTGTAATCCCAACACTTTGGGAGGCCGAGGCAGGAGGATCACCTGAGGTCAGGAGTTCGAGACCAGCCTGGCCAACATGGTGAAACCCTGTCTCTACTAAAAATACAAAAATTAGCCAGACATGGTGGCGCCTGCCTGTTAATCCCAGCTACTTGGGAGGCCAAGGCACGAGAATCGCATGAACCCAGGAGGCGGAGGTTGCAGTGAGCCGAGATCACTACAGCCTGGGTGATAGAGCAAGACTCAGTCTCAATAAAAGAAAAAAGTAGCAAAATCATTTTTTGGAAAGAATATTGAACATGTAGAATTTTAGTACATTAATAGTAAGAGTACAAATTGCTTTAATCAATTAAGGAAGTGTATTGGAATTATCTAGTTAAAAAGAGGAGGCACACGGCTGTGACCCTTCTTAATTATGTACTTAATTATGTACCCTAGAGATAAATGTCTACTTATGTGTCATGATACACTCACAACTGTTATAGGAATGCTGTTCCTATTAGCCAAAGCTATAAAATACCAAAGTCCACCTACGAAAAAAATAAACATAGTGTGGTAAATAGACTCAGTGGAATATTACAAGGTAGTAAAATGCATAAATGAAAATAACAAACAGCACCATACTTCAATTTTCAAGCATAAAGTCAAGTAAATGAAGTATTATTTGAAAATGTGTGCATGGTTATTTCATTACATAAAGGTCAAAAGGAGGGTACATTTATTATTTAGGAAAACACACCTAAGATATCTTTGTAAAATCTGTAAAATCAATAGTACTGTTTCCCCTCTTTCATTCCTTATCTTGAAAATGCTTGTCTCTTTTTCTGCCATGGCTTTCTACCTTGCTTGATATATTACAATTTTGTAACCTGCTTATTTCATCATATGTCATAAGTTCACATGTATATCCCATGAATTATTGAGGGTCTTATTCATTTCAAGTGGCATTTAGGTTTTTAAAAATATCTTTTGGCGACCAGGTGCAGTGGCTCATGCCTGTAATCCCAGCACTTTGGGAAGCCAAGGCAGGTGGATCACGAGTTCAAGAGACAGAGATCATCCTGGCAAACATGGTGAAACCCCGTCTCTACTAAAAATACAAAAAAAAAAAAAATTAGCTGGGCATGGTAGAGGGTGCCTGTAGTCCCAGCTTCTCAGGAGGCTGAGGCGGGAGAATGGCGTGAACCCGAGAGACGGAGGTTGCAGTGAGCCGAGATCGTGCCACTGCACTCCAGCCTGGCAACAGAGTGAGACTCTGTCTCAAAAAAAAAAAAAAAGAAAGAAAGAAAGGAAGAAAAAAAAATCTTCTGGCATTAACTATTAAGAAATTGCACTATAAAAAGAGAATATAATGCATAAGACGGCAATTTGAAAAGATTCAGATATAATTTTTTCTTATCTAGTAAATACTTAGTAATTTGTCTAATGCATGCCTTAAATACATACCACTTTATGCAGAGGTTGCCATGAGCCGAGATCGCGCCGTTGCACTCTAGCCTGGGTGGCAGAGCAAGACTCCATCTCAAAAAAAAAAAAAGAAAATCTCACAGAAGGAGACCCAGAGCTTCCAGCCTCGCCCAGAGTCTTGGCTCACTCCCTGTGTGTGTGGACCCTAGGGAGCCTCTTCTGTTCCCCACAGAGGTGGAAACTTCCTCCTTAATAACCCCTTGATGGTCCCAGGCACTGGTGACCACTGAGCTTTGCTCTCTCTTTTTTCTTATGGTTCCCTGTCTACTTCCAGGGCTATCACTTTACTTTTTGTGCATTAGACCATGAATAATGTTTTAGAAACATTCTATCAAATTTCTCAGTGCTAGGAACAACTGAGGTTTTTGATTGGGTGCCTCAAATGTCTACCCTTACTGTGGAGTCCAACAACAGGATTCTAACAAGTCCCAACCCCTTCATGCCTTAACCTGGTCTGGAAATAAATTATGTTTAAGCCATCCCATACCCCAGCCACATCAAGCCCCACAACCACTCTGAGAAGTGAGATTTATAGCAAAATGCTCCAAACAAGGTAACTAAGGTTCAGACAAGGGATGTTAATGTGTCCATTTACATAAACAAAAAATGGTAGATGATCAGCTTTCCCTTTGAAATCAGAGTACTAATCTGACTCATTGTTCCCTGAATTTTAGAGGCAGGACCTCAGGAGGAGCTAAGAATCCTACCCCAGGAAAATTACCAATATCAGAAAGGAAACAATGACATCAGTACAGATCCTACAGAATTCAAAAGATTCTAAGTGGACATTATGAAGACATTATTCAGCTTAGATGAAGTGGTCACATATCACAAGAAAACAAACTGTCTAAAACAATCTCTGAAATACCTAGACATTCCCTGAATCATTGAGTTATTAAATAAAATACATTTTAAAATTAAACTCTTTTCAGGAAATAAACTTCAATGTCCCCTAGTGCACTCTCCAAAACATGTAGATAGGAATAAATACTGTTCTGAAAGACATTTCCCTGGAATTACAACCATTCAATATATTTTAAAAGGCAATCATAAAAATATAAAAAGGATATATCAGGAGAAGAAATGTAAATGGCCTAAATTCCCCACATAAAAGGCATAGAGTGGCAACGTGGATAAAAAGCCAAGAGCCAACTGCCTGCTGTCTTCAAGAGACCCATCTCACATGTAATGACACCCACAGGCTCAAAGTAAAAGGATGAAGAAATATTTACTAGGCAACCAGGAAACAAAAAAAAGGAAGGCATTCCTATTCTTATATCACATGAAACACACTTTAAATCAACAGCAATCAGGAAGGACAAAGAAGGGCATTACAAAATGATAAAGGGTTCAATTTGACAGAAGACTTAACTATTCTAAATATATATGCACCCAAATTTGGAGCACTCCGATTCATAAAACAAGTTATTCTTCACCTATGAAAAGAGTTAGACAGCCACACAATAATAGTAAGGGACTTCAGTATCCCACTAACAACGTCAGATGAATCACTAAAACAGAAAACTAACAAAGAAATTCTGGTCTTAAAGACAACACTTGACCAATTGGACCTCATAGACATCTACAGAGTACTCCACCCAACAACTGCAGAATATAGATTCTTCTTATCTGCACACACAAAAAACATATCATATTCTAAGACTGGCCACAAAGCAAGTCTCAATAAATTCAAAGAATCAAAATCATAACAAGGCACACAATAAAAATAGAAAAAAATACCAAGATGATCTCTCAAAACTACAGAAAAACATGGAAATTTAACAACTTGTTTCTGAATGAATATTAAGAGCCATCTATGACAAATCCACAGCCAACATCATATTGAATGGTCAAAAGCTGGAACTGTACCCCTTGAGAACTCTTGGGTGAACAATGAAATTAAAGCAGAAATCACAAAACATTATTTAAAATTAATAAAAATAGAAACAAACTTACCAAAACCTTTGGGATGCAGTTAAAGCAGTGATAAGAGGAAAATTTATAGCAATACATGCCTCATCAGAAGTTTAGAAAGATCTCAAATTAGTGACTTAACACTGCATCTAGAGGAACTATTAAAAAAAAGGAACAGTCCAAACCCAAGGCCAGCAAAAGATGAGAAATAACTAAAGTCAGAGAGAACTGAATAAATTGAGACCAAAAAGTCCATACAAGAGATAAATAAAACCAAGAGTTTTTCTTTGAAAAAAAATAAACAAAATTCATAGACTGTTAGCTAGATTAACAAAGAAAAAGAGAAAAGATCCAAATAAACACAAATAGAACTGACAAAACAATGTTACGAACAATCCCACAGAAATAGAAAAGATCGTCAAAGACTATTATGAACACCTCTATACAAACAAGCTAGAAAACCTAGAAGAAATGGATAAATTCCTGGTAACACAAAATTTATCATATTTCAACCAGGAAGAAAGTGAAAACCTGAACAGACCAATAACAAGTTCAGAAATTTAATCAGTAATAAAAACCCTACTAACTAAAAATAGCCCAGGACCAGACGGATTCACAGCCAAAATCCAACAGCCATACAAAGAAGAACTGATACCGATCTTACTGAAACTTTTGGAAAAAATCAAGGAGTGGGGGCTTCTTCCTAACTCATTCTATGAAGCCATCATCACCATGATACCAACATCTGTCAGAGACATAATGAAAAAAAGAAAACTACAACTAAATATCCTTAATGAACATAGACATAAAATCCTCAACAAAATGCTAGCAAATTGAATCTGTCAGTGCATCAAAAGTTAATTCACATGATCAAGTAAGCTTTATTTTTGGGATGCAAGGTTGGTTCAACCTACAAAGTCAACGAATGTGATTCACCTCATAAACATAATTAAAAACAAAAACTATATGATCATCTCAATAGATGCAAAAAAAGCTTTCTGTAAAATCCAACATCCCTTCATGATAAAAACTGTCAATAGGCATCAAAGGAACATACCTCAAAATATTAAGAGCCATCTATGACAAACCCACAGCCAACATCATATTGATGGGCAAAAGCTGGAACCATACCCCTTGAGAACCGAAACAAGACCAAGATGACCACTCCCGCCATTTTAATTCAACATGGTACTGGAAGTCCTAGCCAAAGCAATCAGGCAAGAGAAGGAAATAAAAGGCATTAAAATTGGAAAAGAAGTAGTGATACTGTCTCTCTTTGCTGATGAAATAATTTTATACATAGAAAACCCTAAAGACTCTGTCAGAAGGCTCCTGAAACTGATAAACAAATTCAATAAAGTTTCGGGATTAAAAAAATGTACACAAATTAGTAACATTTCTATGCACCACTAACATTCTAGCTGAGAACTAAATCAAGAACACAATTCCATTTACACTAGCCACAAAGAAAATAAAATACCTAGGAATCCATCTAACCAAGAAGGTGAAAATTCTCTACAAGGAGAACTACAAAACACTTCTGAAAGAAATAAGAAATGATACAAACAAATGGAAGAATATTCCATGCTCATGAATTAGGAGAACAAATAGTTAAAATCGCCATACTTCCAAAAACAAATTGCAGAGTCAATGCTATCCATTTCAAAATGCAATGTCATTTTTCACGAAATTATAAAAATTTATTCTAAAATGTATTTGGCACCAAAAAAAGAGCCTGAATACACATAGGAATCCTAAGCACAAAGAACAAAGCCCAGGCATCACATTACCCAACTTCAAACTATACTACAATGCTATAGTAACCCAAACAGCATGATACTACTACAAAAACAGACACATAGACCAATGAGACAGAATAGAGAACCCAGAAATGAGGCTACATACCTACAATCATCTTTGAAAAAATTGACAAAAACAAGCAATGTGGAAAGTACCCTTTCTTCAATAAATAGTTCTGGGATAACTGACTACTCATATGCAAAATAATAGAACTGGACCCCTAACTCTCACTATATACAAAAATTAACCCAAGATAGTTTAAAGATTTAAATGTAAAACCTCAAAATATTAAAATTCTAGAAGAAAACCTAGGAAATATCCTTCTCAAGATAGACTTTGGCAAAGAATTTATGGCTAACTCCCCAAAACCAATTGTGACAAAGACAGAAATTGGGACCTAACTCAACTGAAGAGCTTCTGCACAGCAAACGAAAGTATCAACAGAGTAAACAGATAACCTACAGACTGGGAGAAAATATTTGCAAACTATGCATCTGACAAAGTTCTAATATCCAGAATCTATAAGGAATGTAAACAAATCAACAAGCAGAAAACCAAAAAACCTCAATTAAGTATGACATGAACAGACACTTCTCAAAAGAAGATGTACACATGGCCAAAAAACATATGAACAAATGCTTATTATCAGTAATCATCAGAGAAATGCAAATTAAAACCACAGTGAGATACCATCTCACAACAATCAGAGAAGCAGAAGCAATTACTAAAAAGTTTTTTGTTTTTTTTAATAACAGATGCTGACAAGATTGTGGAGAAAAGGGAACACTTATACACTCTTGGTGGGAATGTTAACTAGTTCAGCCAATGTGATAAGCAGTTTGGAGACTTCTCAAATAACTTAAAATAGAACTACTATTCAATCAAGCAATCCCACTACTGGGTATATACCAAAAGGAAGGTAATTAACTATGTCAAAAAGACACATGCACTAGTATATTCATTGCTGTGCAATTCAGAATAGCAAAGATTTGCAGTCAACCTAAGTGCTCACCAACAGTGGATTAGTTAAAGAAAATGTGCTACATATACACATGGAACATTACATGGCCATAAAAAATAATGAAATCATGTCCTTTGCAGCAACATGAATGTAGCAGGAGGTCAATCTCCTAAGTGAACTAACCCAGGAACAGAAAACCAAATACCACATGTTATCACTTATAACTGAGAACCAAACATTGAATACACATGAACATAAAGATGGAAACAACAGATACCGAGGACTACAGATGGGGGGAGGAGTAGGGAGGTATAGGCTGAAGAAACACCTGTTGGATTCTATGCTCATTGCCTGGGTGATGGCATTGTTGGAACCACAAACCTCAGAGTCACACAATATGCCTATGTAACAAACCTGCATGCATACCTTTAATCTACAGTAAAGGTTGAAGTTATTTAAAAATAGGAAGAAGAATTACCCTATACCTAAAGCTAAGATTTTTCCCTTTGAATATTCGTTTCTTCATCACTGTAGATAAGCAGGGAAAGAAAAATTATTATACTATACTAGCCTTTTATGTGACCATGAGGATTTGGGGTAGGTAGGTGGACAGCTTAGATAATTCACCAGGATATTGATACAGGCTCCATGGCTGGAAATAACCAAGGATGAGTGCTGTGTTTTGAGTGGTCTCCCCCAGAAACGTTTGTTGAAATCCTAACCCCTGGTATGTATGAATGTGAATTCATATTATATAAAAAGGAATAAATAGCCTGAGCACAGTGGCTCACACCTGTAATCCCAGCACTTTGGGAGGCCAAAGCAGGTGGATCATTTGAGGTCAGGAGTTCTGGCCAATATGGCAAAACTTCATCTCTACAAAAAAAAAATACAAAAAAAAAAATTGGCTGGGTATGGTGGCGCATGCCTGTAGTCCCAGCTACTCAGGAGGCTGAGGCAGGAATTGCTGAAACCTGGAAGGCAGAGGTTGCAGTGAGCCAAGATCATGCCACTGCACTCCAGCCTGGGTGAGACGGCAAGATATTCTGTCAAAAATAAATAAATAAAAAACAGAAGAAGAAATACAAGAATGACAGCAAACTTTGTATTCAAAACTATGAAAGTAAGAAACAGGTGGACCAACATTTTTAAAGTGCTACAAGAAAATATTTCAAACTAGAATCTTTCAACCTGAAAAGGAAAACATTTTCCTGCAATAAAGGTGCCATTAAAAATGTCTCACAATTTATTACATGAAGCATTGTTCTACAATAAATGTTAAGCTCTTGAAGCAAAGATTAATGATACCATTTAGTAACTTGAAATTCAAAAAAGTGGAAGTATCCCAAGAGGCAAATACGTGTGCAATTATTAAATGTTTCATATCAACACCCAACCTTATGCTGTCTACATAAGCTGCACTTCAAATACTAATCCACAAGATGTAAATATTGAAAGAATGACATTACCTTGTCATGATAATGCCCAGTGCAAAATATGCTTCTAGTCAGTTGTATACATAGAATAGGTAAATGTTTGTAATAAAAAGTATTCCTCAATAGAAGTTTCTTAACTCAAAGAATGAAATATTTCACCATGCACATACAAAGAAGAGATATATGGAGATATGAAGAGGAGTACTTCATAATGACAAAGAGGCAAATTCATAAATAAGACATAATCATCCTAAATGCCTACACACTTAAAGCTGGAACCTCAAAACACATTAAATTAAAGGCATAATTCAAAACATAATCAATCACATCCAAATTGCAGCTAGAGATAGCAACATTCACCTCACTTCCAGAACAAGTACACAGAAAATTATTAAGCATATGAAAGACTTGAAAAACATTTGTGTAGGCGGCGGGTGCATAAGGTTGGGTGTTGATATGAAACATTTAATAATTTCAATAATCCTAGCACTTTGGGAGGCCAAAATGGGAGGATCACTTGAGGCCAGGAGTTTGAGACCAGCCTGGGCACCATAGTGAGACCCCGTCTCTATTTTTTTTAAATAAAGAAAAACATTTGAATGATTTTTTTCTTAACTGACATTTAGAAAACATCCACCTCAAATCTTCCTAATCCACAAACTTGTCTAGCACCCCTGGAACATTCACCAAAATAAATTTTTAAATGCTGAATCATAGGTAATATGATAGATGAAACAGTTGAATTAAATTATAAATGTACAACAAGGAAATGCTGGGGAAATTATCAAATATTTTAAAATTAATAAACACACATAGCAATAAACAATGAGTGGAAGAAAAACATTTCAAAGAAAGGTGGAAAATATTTTGTATCAATTAAAAATGAAAACACATCTCGGCAAATGACTGGGGATACAGATAGAACAGCGTTAAGGGACAATAAGCCTCAAATGTCTGTGTTAGAAAAGAAGGAAGAGCTGAGTAAATAGGTAACTTTCACTTGCAGAAATACTACACATCAGCAAATTAATTCCAAAGTAACGTCGAGGAAAAACATAAAATGGCAAGCAAATATATACGTGCATATGTACATACATTCATAAATGACAAACAGGACAGAAAAATCAGTGACATCAATTTTGTTCCTTAGAAGAAACAGGAAAATTGACCCCAAAAAACTTTCCAGGCCACATTTGGTCATGATGGAAATATTTTGGCACTTCCTGGTTAAGCTCAACACCAACTTGCACCCAAAACCAATAATTTCATTTCTAGGTAAATATGTCTAATTAATTCAGCATATGTATGCAAGGGATCACACAGAAACACGATTATCAAGGCCCGAGTTATAAAAGAGAAAATCCGGAAACAACACAAATGTCCATGATAAAAAGAATGGATAATTACATGTTGATAAAGTTATGCATGGACTATTAAACTGCAATCCAAAAGAATAAAATAGAGCTATAAAATTCAATATGTATATGGTGTCATAGAAACACAAATGTGAGAAAAAGAAAGAAAAATACAAAATTTATATTTTTTAAAATTTGAAACAACTATATATGTGAGTGCTTAGGGTGTGTGTGTGTGTGTGTGTGTGTGTGTATAACCATATGTATATAAATGCACACATACGCACACATATAGAATGTCCCGGCCAGGCATGGTGGCTCACACCTGTAATCTCAGCACTTTGGGAGGCTGAAGTAGACAGATCACTTGAGGTTAGGAGTTCAAGACCAGCCTGGCCAACATGGAGAAACCTCCTCTCTACTAAAAGTACAAAAATTAGGTGGGCGTGGTGGTGGGTGCCTGTAAATCCAGCTACTTAGGAGGCTGAGGCACGAGAATTGCGTGAACCTGGGAGGTGGAGGCTGCAATGAGCCGAGGTCTCACCACTGCATTCCAAACTGGGTGACGAAGTGAGATTGCATCTCAAAAAAAAAAAAAGTTCTAAAAGTTGTGACTTGGGTGTGGCAGATTGTGACATACTGCCAGCTGCTAGAAATGCTGGGGCAGGAGGATTGCTTGAACTCTGAAGTCAAAGAACAGCCTGGGGAAAATAGCACATGAAGAAGAGTTTGAATCTCAGATAAAAACAACAAAAATACATCAAAAGTCTTTAATGTAAGCCAAGCATTCAGTCATCTCCTGTATGAGAGATTGGATCTGAGACGTGTTTTGAGTTGGTTATAGTGAAGGATGCAAGGTGTCAATTCTAGTTGGAACAATTTCCAGGAAGCCATGTTCTGCTCTTGACCAAACAGCCACTGGGCCTCATGCAAGGTAGAAATAGCCTGCATACGTCATCCTCCCATGATGTGGTCAGCATGTAAACTGCATGAGCCCCTCACAACATCCTGTGTGCTGCTGAACTGAGCTGGGGCGCAGCCGCCTGTCTGCACCGGCAGCACCATGTCGCTCATGGTCGTCAGCATGGCGTGTGTTGGTGAGTCCTGGAAGGGAATCGAGGGAGGGAGCGGTGGGGTGGAGATCTGGGCCTGGAGTGGAGATATGGGCCTGGAGTGGAGATATGGGCCTGGAGTGGAGATATAGGCCTGGAGTGGAGATATGGGCCTGGGGTGGAGATATGGGCCTGGAGTGGAGATATGGGCCTGGAACTGTAGATATGGGCCTGAAGTAGAGATATGGGCCTGGAGTAGAGATATGGGCCTGGAACTGTAGATATGGGCCTGGAGTGGAGATATTGGCTTGGAGTGCAGATATGGACCTGGAATTGAGATACGGGCCTGGAGGTGGAGATATGGGCCTAGAGTGGAGATATGGGCCTGGAGGTGGAGATATGGGCCTGGAACTGTAGATATGGGCCTGGAGTAGAGATATGGGCCTGGAGTGGAGATGTTGGCTTGGAGTGCAGATATGGGCCTGGAATGGAGACACGGGCCTGGAGGTGGAGATACAGGCCTGGAGGTGGAGATATGGGCCTGGAGTGTAGATATGGGCCTGGAGTAGAGATATAGGACAGAGGTGGAGATATAGGCCTGGAGTGGAGATATGGGCCTGGAGTAGAGATATAGGACGGAAGTGGAGATATGGGCCTGGAGTGGAGATATGGGCCTGGAGGTGATGTACAGATGGATCATCCATCATGATCTTTCTTTCCAGGGTTCTTCTTGCTGGAGGGGCCCTGGCCACATGTGGGTGAGTCCTTCCCCCAAACCTTAGGTTGTCATCTCCCCACATAAGATGATGTTCCTGAAACGGGAGGCAGGCGACACAGGGGGTTGACTGATGGGCTGACCATGGGAAGCCATGTGGGAATCTCTCATGAACTAGGAAAAGGAAGCCAGGGGAAGCTTCGCCACAGTTCTGTCCTAGCCCTCCCCGGCCTTTCTTTCCCTTGGCTGAGTCTGTGGGGACCCAGGGGGAGACTGAAGTGCTCAAAGGAGTGGTGTGCAGGGAGGAAGTGGTGTCACCGGCAGAGGAAGGGAGAGAAGCAGTGCAAGGAACAACAGGCCTCTGAGGACAAGAGCATAACTCACACCCTCCAGCGTTTCCATGACGGTAGGGGCTGCAATGTGGCTGCTGTCATTCTACCTAAGAGGTGGGGGAACCACAGTCATGACCCTGACATTCCAGATCTTCTAATAGGGGCTCAGTTGTTTATTATGGTTCATGCATTAGCTGATCATGCCCTCCATCCTGTGTCTACCTTGTGTTCTTTTATGTAAGTAATTTTGCAGTGTTAAAATCTAGTAAGAGTCGCTTCTTCAGCACCTGCTCAAAGTTCTCAGCTGACACTTGCTGTAGGGAGACGCCATGTCTATGCGGGATGGGTCCTTCCTGTAGCCCTGGGCACCCAGGTGTGGTAGGAGCCTTAGAAACGTGGAAATGGGAGAATCTTCTGAGCACAGGGAGGGAGGGGCGGCTCCACATCCTCCTCTCTAAGGTAGTGCCTCCTTCTCCCCCAGGTGGTCAGGACAAGCCCTTCCTCTCTGCCTGGCCCGGCACTGTGGTGTCTGAAGGACAACATGTGACTCTTCAGTGTCGCTCTCGTCTTGGGTTTAACGAATTCAGTCTGTCCAAAGAAGACGGGATGCCTGTCCCTGAGCTCTACAACAGAATATTCCGGAACAGCTTTCTCATGGGCCCTGTGACCCCAGCACATGCAGGGACCTACAGATGTTGCAGTTCACACCCACACTCCCCCACTGGGTGGTCGGCACCCAGCAACCCTGTGGTGATCATGGTCACAGGTCAGAGGCTTTCTGTCTGGGCTTCTCACTGTCCCACCTCCTGAATCCCAGAGCTTCTGGTGGGGGTGTCCATCAGGGTCCAATCATCCAGGCCCAGACTGTATTTGGGGTAAAGGGGGATTCAGTACAGAGAAATAGTTGCTGTGGTGGGAAGAATAATTGTCCCCAGTGATGGCTACATGGTAATCCATGAACCCTGTGACTATTTATGTCATAGGGCAGGGGACTGAAGGGGAAGATGGAGCTCAGGTTGTTGATGGGTTGACCTTGCGATGGGGAGACAGCCTGGACTGTCCTGCTGTGCTCAGAGTAATCACAAGGGTCCTCATGAGAGGAGGAGGAAGAGGAAAGTGGGGTTAGAGCAACGTCGTGGGAGGGAGACTCCATCAGCCACAGCGGGCTTTGAAGATGGGGGAAGGCCATGAGCCACAAAGGCAGTTGGCCTCTAAGGGCTGGAGAAGTCAAGGGAACTGATTCTTCCCTGAGTCTCCAGAGGAAACACAGCCCTGTAGATGCCTTGATTTTAGCCCAGAGAGAACTGGGTCCGATTTCTGTTCTCCAGAAGTGGAAGGGGTCATTGTATTCTCTCCTGCCCCATGTTTGTGACAATTTTCTCCAGCAGCAACAGGAAACCAACACAGGAACCCAGGTGAAGCACAAGTTAAGAAACCAAACAAGGAGAAGGTTGGCTACACTGATTTTAGCATGGGTGGGATACTGATGCTACCACCAGGCTCGATCCACATAGGGAGGGGTTGATGCTCCTGGAACCAGCACCAGGGGCCACCCTATGGAAGCTGGGGCCATGGAGAAGGCACAGACATGACAGGAGAGGCTCCCAATCCCCATCAGGAACAGGGACACTGATGCCTGCCTTACTGATGAGTTCGTACCTCCTGCCAGCCTTTCCAATCTGTCCAAAAGAGATTGATTCAGGCTGCTAAGAGCCTGGACATGCAGCCTGTCGTGGTTCCTCTTCCACCCCCACATAAACACCAGGAAAGAGATTAGTGGGAAACAGATACAACAGCATAAGAGGTGACACTGAGCACAGTGGGAAGGGAATCAGGGCTACTAGAGACAGAGAGACAGGGAAGAGGGAGGGAGACAGATGGAGGGACCTGCAACAGGGGTTATGGGCACAAAAGAACACGGAGACACAGAGAGGAAGGAGAGAGATAGACACCATGGAGGGGAAGCCTCACTTATTTCAGGTCCCATGAATGGGATGAGAAAGGGAGACGCCTTCTGAACTCACAACCTCTCTTCTTAGGAGTCCACAGAAAACCTTCCCTCCTGGCCCACCCAGGTCCCCTGGTGAAATCGGGAGAGACGGTCATCCTGCAATGTTGGTCAGATGTCAGGTTTGAGCGCTTCCTTCTGCACAGAGAGGGGATCACTGAGGACCCCTTGCGCCTCATTGGACAGCTCCACGATGCGGGTTCCCAGGTCAACTATTCCATGGGTCCCATGACACCTGCCCTTGCAGGGACCTACAGATGCTTTGGTTCTGTCACTCACTTACCCTATGAGTTGTCGGCTCCCAGTGACCCTCTGGACATCGTGGTCGTAGGTGAGAGAATACAGACCTGCCTCTCACCCTTGCTGGGAGATGGAGTGAATGATCTAGGACTGGAAGCCCCAGGTGGTCATGAGGAAGATGAGTGTGGGGTTCCTATGGAGAGAAAGTGACTTGGTGAGGTCTGTACCAACAAAGGCAGAGAAACAGGAGACACAAGTACAGACCTCATGTCATAACATAGAAGCCAGACACAGGGGCCATACAAGGTGTTAGAAAAAGAGATAAAGAGGTAAAGAAGACACAGAGAGACAGATATATCCCAGAGAGAGGTGTCCTTCTATGCTGACTTTGTTCAGAGACCAGGCACAGGTTAGAAGGTTCCATTCTGTTTTACCTCTACAAAGTGTTCTCTCCCAGGAGAACCCAAAGAGACACATCTATCTGGCCTGAGTTGGGCCGTGTGGCCCCAGGCTGGTGGCACCTACAGATGCTGTGTTTATTCTTAAACCTCTGCCTTCCGTGCAGTGGAGCTGTCGTCGTCGCAGGACACCATGGCCCCAGGTGAGGGAGCAGAACACCAACCCCTGTATGTTGTGAGTTCCTGGAGTCCCCATACTGGATTCTGAGGCTCATATTCAAATAGCACCACATGTTATAGGATTACTGAGAACAAAAGCCCACAGAGAGACACGGAGTGAAATCAGGGAAATCAAAAAGCAAAGACATGAACACACACACAGAATGAGCCAGAAGAAGGGAATTGAGAGACTCACAGACACATAAAGAGATAGAAAAAGAGGGCAGAGAAGTGGAGCGTATGATGGAAGGAAGCAGAGAAAAGCCCTAAAATCAGAGCCCTGAGGGAGGGGCACAAAGACAGGGAAAGATAAAGATGTGGGGATGGATTGCAGAGACTCCAAAAGGGAACTAGAGAGACTGAGAGGCAGAGAAAGACAAGGAGATGGAGAGAGACAGATGATAGATGGATAGATAGATATAGATAGATGAAAGATAAAAGGTAGATGATAGATAATAGAGAGACAGGTGATAGACAAATAGATGATGAATGACTGATAGATGATATAGATAGACAAGTAGAAAGACAGACAGATGATATATAAATAGATATAGAGAGATAGAAAGATAAACACATGATGATAGATGGATAGATGCATACATACATACATTGATTGATAGATGATAGATAACAGAGAGATAGGTCATAGATACACAGATGATGATAGATGATAGATACATACATAGATAAATGATAGATCGATCAATAGATAGTAGATAGAAATATGCAGAAAGTTATGAGCAAGACAGAAAGTGAGAGACTCAGAATTAAAGAAAGAGGAAGATCAAGTCAACCAGTCCAAGGAGGGTCAGAGAGAATAAAATGGTACAAAAAAAGAAAACATAGCTAGGGATGGAGAAGTGAGGTCAGAGACCTAGAGAGACAGAGAAGGTGGAAGGAGGAAATAGACATGAAGAGAGATGGGGGTGGAGGGTGAGAGAGAGAAAGAGAGCATTAAGTCATAGAGCAGGGGAGTGAGTTCTCAGCTCAGGTGTGAGGAGAGCTGTGACAACGAAGAACCTCCCTGAGGAAACCACCTCTTCTCCTTCCAGGTCTATATGGGAAACCTTCTCTCTCAGCCCAGCCGGGCCCCACGGTTCAGGCAGGAGAGAATGTGACCTTGTCCTGCAGCTCCCGGAGCTTGTTTGACATTTACCATCTATCCAGGGAGGCAGAGGCCGGTGAACTTAGGCTCACTGCGGTGCTGAGGGTCAATGGAACATTCCAGGCCAACTTCCCTCTGGGCCCTGTGACCCACGGAGGGAACTACAGATGCTTCGGCTCTTTCCGTGCCCTGCCCCACGCGTGGTCAGACCCGAGTGACCCACTGCCCGTTTCTGTCACAGGTGAGAAAACACCATGCCTGTCCCATGTCTTGTGATCCTAGAGCCATAGCTGAGGAGCTTCCTGCTGATGATGGAGAGAAGCATGGACAGATGCCGAGACAGAACACACAGCATGGGTGTAAGGGCGGGGTCAGGGGGCAGGATGGCAGACAGGGCACCTCCAAACCCTCCTGTATGGCCTGCAAGGAGGCCCTTGATCAGGGTTCCAGGCACCCAGGCAGATGGAGAAAGAGGTCAGAACAGACCCAGAGGAGGGAGACTGGGCTCTGCCTGGGGAGATCAGAGGTTCTCTCAGCCCCTCAACCTTACCCACTTCCCAGAAGCCCATCCTGGCCTGTCACCCACAGAGAGATGTCATCACCAGCAACGCCTACACCCTTTTCTTTTTGTTTGAAGAAATATTTATTGAGGTGAAATATACCTATGTAATTTACCACCTTTACCATTTTTAAGTGTGAAGTCTACTGTTCATAAATACATTTATAGGCTGGGCACGGTGGCTCACTGTTGTAATCCCAACACTTTGAGAGGCCAAGGCAGGTGGATCATTTGAGATCAGGGGCTCAAGACCACCCTGGCCAACATGGGGAAAATCCATCTGTACTAAAAATACAAAATAATAATAATAATGATAATAATTAGCCGAGCATGGTGGCACATGCCTGTAGTCCCAGCTACTTGGGAGGGTTGGGCAGGAGTTGCACTTAATTGCAGGAGGCGGAGGTTGCAGTGAGCTGAGATCATGCCACTGCACTGCAGCCTGGGCAACAGAGAGAGACACTCTCTCAAAATTAATTAATTAATTAATTAGTATTCTTTTTTTTTTACCCTCCACCCTTCCCTTCCTGGCCTCTGGTAGCCACCATTCTACTCTCTACCTTTGTGAGATCCACCTTTTAGCTCCTGCATATGAGTGAGAAATGGAAATACTTGTAATGACCTCCAGTTCCATTCATGTGGCTGTAAATGACAGGATGTTACTCTTTCTATGGATGAGTTGTCCCTATTGTGTGTGTGTACCACATTCTCTCCATCCATTCACCCACTGATGGGCAGGTAGGTTGATCCACATCTTGGCTACTGTGAACACTGCTGGAACAGTCATGGGAGTGCAGATGTCACTTCGATACGCTGATGTCCTTTCCTTTGGGTTTACACCCAGTCATGGAATTGCTAGATCCTCTGGAAGTGTCTTTTTACATTTTGTTTTATGGTTTTTGTTTTTGTTTTTGTTTTTTTTAGACAGTTTCACTCTTGTTGCCCAGGCTGGAGTGCAGTGGTGCCATCTGGGCTCACTGCAACCTCCACCTCCAGGATTCAAGAGATTCCCCAGCCTCAGCCTCCCAAGTAGCTGGGTTACTGGCTCCCACCACCACACTCGGCTAATTTTTATATTTTTAGTAGAGACAGAGTTTCGCTATATTGGCCAGGCTGCTCTTCAACTCCTGACCTCAAGTGACCTACCCACCTCGGCCTCCCAATGTGCTGGGATTACAGGCATGAACCACTGTGCCCGACCTCATTTTATTTTTTGAGGAACTTCCATACTCTTCTCCTCTGTAATGGCTGTACTAATTTGCATTCGTATCAGCAGTGTACCAGATGCAACCCTGGTTGACTCAGCAGAGCAAGAGACGTGCAGTAAGAGAGAATTTAGCTTATTTATGCACACGACACTTCCACTCACTCACTCGTTCAGCCAATGCCCCATGCTCTGGCTGTGCAGTGTGGAATCTTTTCCTATTGTTGCCATAACAAATTTCCACAAGCTTCGTGGATGAAAACATGTTTTTCTTAATTATCTCACAGTGCTGTAACTCAGAAGTATGAACTGCATTTCACTGGGCTGATATCAAAGGGACAGTAAGGCTGGATTTCTTTTTAAGGTTCCAAGCAAGAATCTGCTCCTTAACGTTTCCCAGCTCCTAGAGGCTCCCACGTTCCTGGGCCCCTGGTCCCCTTCCTCCTTCCTCCTTCCTCAAAGCCCACAAAGGCTGGTCACGTCTCACATGGCATCATTCAGACTCTTCTTCTTTACCCATACCTTTTTCTCTGAATCCTGCTCTGCCTTCTTCCTCATCTTTTAAGGACTTTGGGATTCTATTGGGGTCACCAAGATAATCCATCTCAATCTCCCTAAAATCATCCAGCGTACCCTCTTTTTAAGTTCAGCTGATTAGCAACCGTAATGCCATCTGCAATCTTCATTCCTCCTTTCCTGTAAAATAACATATTCACAAGCTATGGAGGCTAAGACAGGGACATTTTGGGGGTGGGGCAGCATTCTCCTGCCTTCCACAAATGGTAAACAGGATGCATTTGGCCTCTGCTCTTGGGACGCTGATATTGCAGATGGGTAAATGCGAGGGCAGAGAATGAATGCACAAGGGTACCAATAAATGAATGATCCATTGGGAAGCATCTGTGCACCAAATCTGGGGTTTTTTGTGTGTGTGTGTGTTTTTTGTTTTCTTTTTTTTTTTTGAGTAGAGTCTCTCTCTGTTCCACAGGCTGGAGTGCAGTAGCACAATCTCAGCTCATTGCAACCTCTGCCTCCTGGGTTCATGCAATTCTCCTGCCTCAGCCTACCGAGTAGCTGGGATTACAGCTGTGCGCCACCACACTCGGCTAATTTTTTTGGTATATTTTTTAGTAGAAATGAGGTTTCACCATGTTGTGCAGGCTGTCTCAAACTCCCAATCTCAAGTGATCCCACCGCCTTAGCGTCCCTAAGTGCAAAGATTACAGGCGAGAGCTACTGCGCCCAGCCAGGATTTAAAATAAGTAATAGATAATGCTGAGTATATAATTTCAGGTGACAGAGAAGGTCTCACTGATCAGATAATATTTGTGACCTTAATGGAAAAAATGGATTCAACCCTTGGAAGATTGGCGGAAGGATTTTCCACACTGAGCTCTCAGCCGTGAAGGCACAAAGGTGGAAACATTCTTAGTTCAAGGAAGAGGCTCTGCCTCAAATGCTGGGAATGAGATGGGGAGAATGACAAGACAACTGTAGAGAGATGGAGAGCACACTGGGTACACAGGAAACTAAGGAGGAACAAGGAGCATGTTTTTGATACTCACAGCCCTTGGATTCAACTCAGAGCTAACTAGGAATCCCTACCTGATTAACAGTGACCGACATGAAAATAAGGGAGGCCCAGGTGCGTAACTGGAATCTAGGAGACCGTGGAAAAGGCAATTCCCGCCCCACTGGTGAAACGTAGGGTTGATTTACACACTAAATGAATGAAAGATGGATATAAGCTATGCTTGTGAGGTAGAATCATTTGCAGGGAGGGCTTGCTGGGTTTGATTTTTCCTAGTAGTTTAATCCTTGTTTCATTAATTTCTTTCTGAGATGTGTTTTTTTTCTACATCTAAATCAATACCTGGCAGAGGAGCGATAGACACATGAGGGGTGGTGCAAATGAAGGGACCTAGTATAATATAATATACAAGACTGTGGATGGGGGCTCACACCTGTAACCCAACACTTTGGGAGGCCAAGGCGGGTAGATCACTTAAGGGTAGGAGTTTGAGACCAGCCTGGCCAACATGGTGAAACCCCGTCTGTACTAAAAATACAAAAATTAGCCTGGTGCATTGGCACCTGCCTGTAATCCCAGCGACTGGGGAGGCTGAAGCAGAAGAATGGCTTCAACCCTGGAGGCAGAGGTTGAACTGAGATCGCATCACTGCACTCCAGCCTGACACAGGGGGACTCTGTCTCAAAAAATAAAAATAAAACATACATAATTATGACACACAGAAATTACAAAGGCAACTGGATACCAACCATCATTTTTCTATTTCTCTGTGTTTAATTCTTTGACCCTTTATCTTATCCATTAAACAATCAGGTTAAACCTCTTCCTTATTTGGCTTTCTGTGAGCTTGGGATCATATGGAAAATGTGAAAGCCTCCTGAACCCACCAGCACAGGTCCTGGAATAGAGAACGTGCTCTGTTCATGGCATAAAACTTGCCCCTTCACCCAAATCCCCCAATTCATCTCTACTTCCAATCACCTATGGAGATACAGATAGATCATGGGGAGGTAAACACTAATACTCTTTGGAGTGAGCTCAGATCTTGGACTCAGAGACCAGTGCCAGCACTAGCCCCTGGTCACATTTCGTACTAACTCACAGAAGGACAGGCTGTATTGAAACAATAAACGACGGAGAGGGCGGTCCTTCCCCGTGCTTCTCGGGTGGAATAGCAGCCTAATATATGTCTCAGCAGATCACAAAAAGTAGCATGTTGTTCCTGGGCTACATCATTATTTCATGGCTGTTTGATTTAAGTCAGTTCTACTTCACTTTTTTTATCTTGATTTCATTTTTTCTTTCTTTTCTTGGAGAATGTAATTTTTTTGAGTCAAGAGGGTTGTGGTGGTAGAAACTGTAAAGCACATTCGCTGTGTATCAATCCCAATCCAGTCTTCCCAGAGAAGATTCTAAACACCTCCTGGAATGCACCTGGGCCTATACCAATTCCTATCACTCACCGTCACTCCAGGGAGACAGAACACACAGAGAACACATTACACAGGCAGGTTCATTACTAACAGATAAGCAGCGAGTGACAACAGAAACCTACATTTCAATGTGAGCCAGTCCCTCAAGGCTCAGAAAAGCTGCTCGAGACATGTGGAGTCACCCCATATGCAGTGTATCTGGGGGAAATCAAAAAGCAGCCCAGCCTGGGTTTTGTACCCTGGAGCCACAGGAAGCACTCAGCTAAAGCACTGCATGACGTCCTCCTCCAGGAAGAACAGGAAGACAGCCCAGGCTGTTCTGGGATGTTCCTCCTGATCTCAGGACGTTGCTGTCTTAGTCCATTTTTGTTGCTCTAAAGGAACACTTGAGCCTGGGTAACTTCTAAAGACAAGAAATGTGTTTGCCTCACAGTTCTGCAGGCTGTACTGGAAGCATGGCACCAGCATCTATTTCTTGTGACGGCCTCAGGCTGCTCCCACTCTGGCAGAAGGGAAGGAGGGTCTGTCTGTGCAGAGACCACAGAGATCACACGGCAAGAGAGGGACCAAGGGGGAGGGGGAGCGATGGAGCTTCCAAGCTCTTTTAACAACCAGTTCTCCAGGAACTAATAGAGGGGGAACTTGCTAACCCCGTCTCCTTGGAACAGCATTGATCTGTTCATGATGGATCCACCTCCATGACCCAAACAACTCCCAAGAGGCCCAACCTCCCACTCTGGGGGTTACATTTCAATGTGAGGTTTGAAGGGGTCAAACATCTAAACTAAAGCAGTTGTATCCTCAGCACGTTCTATGGTTACTACAACTGAGAAAGCAGGAGGAAGCTAGGTCTCCCGCCATCTGGGTGCTTGTCCTAAAGAGACGTTGTATGTGGTTACCTGTCAATCAAGAAATGTGAGACAATTCATATAGAGGAACTGCTATGATTAGCTTCTTATTGGTGTCTTGTCTTCCTCCAGGTAACTCCAGAAACCTGCACGTTCTGATTGGGACCTCAGTGGTCATCATCCCCTTTGCTATCCTCCTCTTCTTTCTCCTTCATCGCTGGTGTGCCAACAAAAAGAGTAAGTCTCACGAAGCAGAAGCCAGAGAGCTCAGGGCCATGTGGGGAAGCAGGATGGGAGCACTCAGGTGTGTGTTCCTCACAGACTGGATGGTCCCTGGCCCAAGGCAGGAGCCACAGAGGCAGGACTTTCTAGAGAGAGCACCAGACTCCCTGCCTCTGCCTTCAGCTCACAGACCATTGCCTGATTCTGAACCGTATCCTCACATCCCCTGCAGCCACTCACATCCAGGAGAAGGTTCCATGACAGGCAGAAAGTGGGACACAGAATCAATAGGATGGGAACTCAGAGCTATACATGGGATGGATCCTTGAGCTCAGAGAGATAGAATGTCTGAGTCTGCTGTTGGCAACTGAGGGACCTCAGGCACCTATGGCCTCCCCCTGTATGTTGGTATCTGCTTATGAAATGAGGACCCAGAAGTGCCCTCCGAGCTGTTTTGACGACTTCCGTCTTCTACAGATGCTGTTGTAATGGACCAAGAGCCTGCAGGGAACAGAACAGTGAACAGGGAGGTAGGTGCTCCTCCGCCCAGCCTCGTGGCTAGTCTTATTCCCAAAGAGTCCTGGAAAATGTGAGCACCCTCCCTCACTCAGCATTTCCCTCCCTCCAGGACTCTGATGAACAAGACCCTCAGGAGGTGACATACGCACAGTTGAATCACTGCGTTTTCACACAGAGAAAAATCACTCGCCCTTCTCAGAGGCCCAAGACACCCCCAACAGATACCAGCGTGTAACACGGAACTTCCAAATGCTGAGCGCAGATCCAAAGTTGTCTTCTGTCCACTAGCACCACAGTCAGGCCTTGATGGGATCTTCTAGGGAGACAATAGCCCTGTCTCAAAACCGGGTTGCCAGCTCCCATGTACCAGCAGCTGGACTCTGAAGGCGTGAGTCTGCATCTTAGGGCATCGCTCTTCCTCACACCACGAATCTGAACATGCCTCTCTCTTGCTTACAAATGTCTAAGGTCCCCACTGCCTGCTGGAGAGAAAACACACTTGCTTAGCCCACAATTCTCCATTTCACTTGACCCCTGCCCACCTCTCCAACCTAACTGGCTTACTTCCTAGTCTACTTGAGGCTGCGATCACACTGAGGAACTCACAATTCCAAACATATAAGAGGCTCCCTCTTAACACGGCACTTAGATACGTGCTATTCCACCTTTCCTCAGAGTATCTTTCAGCCTTCTGTCAGCAGTAAAACTTATAAATTTTTTTTATAATTTCAATGTAGTTTTCTATTCTTCAAGTAAACATGTCTGCCCTCATGGTTTCTTCAATGGGACTCTTTTCTTGCCTAAGGCTTCCGGTGTTATCATTACCACGTCCACATAACCCCATCTGTTCTCCGCTGGGTTCTCAGCCCTGGACTCTGAGCTTCTGGAAGCATGGTGGAGCCTGAATTGTCTCTGAGACTCCAATTTCCATCCAAAGATGCAGCACATAGGAGGTTCCAAGGATGGTGAATCAGATGAACAAGTGATATTCTTACTCTCTGCAGATCTGGAAAGCTGGCAGAGTCATTCCACGATGAAACATTTGTAGAGTCATAGGCCTTGTTAGTCTCATCTCCACAGGGACACGTATCAACACATCATCTTTCATACTACTATAAATAGACAGTCACTCCTCCATATCTCTGGGGTTTACACATGTTTATTGAATCAGCAATAAATCAAAAATATTTTGAGAAAAAAAATCCCCGAAGTTTCAAAAAGCAAAAAACTATGTTGAATCGACACAAATTGAGTGGCGTGTAGGCTGTGTCAGGAATTATAAGTAATCAAGAGATGATTTCATGTATACAGGAGGATGTGCATGGGTTCTATGCAATTGCTATGCTATTTTTTTTTTTTTTTTGAGACAGTCTCACTCTCTCACCCAGGCTGGAGTGCAGTGGCGTGATCTCAACTCACTGCAACCTCCGCCTTCCAGGTTCAAGCGATTCTCTTCCCTCAGCCTCCCCAGTAGCCTCCCCTAGGATTACAGGCACGTGCCACCCTGCACAGATAAATTTTTTTGTGTGTATATTTTTAGTAGAGATGGGGTTTCAGAATGTTGGACCAGCTGGTCTTGAACTCCTGACCTTGTGATCTACCCAGCTCAGCCTCCCAAAGTGCTGGGATTACAGGCGTGAGCCACGGTGCCCAGCTTCACTATGCCATTTCATGCAAGGGGCTTGAGCATCTGCAGATTTTGGTATCTGAATGGGGATCCTGGAACCAATCACCCAGGTATAGTGAAGGACCATGGTATATAATTTTTATTTGTCAATCTTAAAAATAAAGCATAAAAAATTTACAACAACAAGATAAAAAATAAGAAGTGTTTTTATAGTGTGAGGATAAGTTTAGATTTATTTTTTCCTACGTGTAACCCTATGGTCCTGTGTTATTTGTTGAGAAAATATTCTATTCCACCTTAAACTACATGGCAGCCTTTGTCAACTATAAAGGGACTGTGTATCCACAGATGTATTTTAGACACAGTTTTCTGTCCAGTGGTTCTCTGTATCCCCTCTCATGAGGATGCTGCATTTTATATAAACTTATAGAACCCCTTAAAATTTGGTAACCTGAGTCCTCTGATTTGTTATTATAGGTTATTTAGTTTGCTTTTTTTTTTTTTCTTGAGACAGACTCTTCCTCTGTCACCCAAGCTGGAGTTCAGTGGCTTGAGCTCAGCTCACTGCAACCTCCGTCTCCCAGGTTCAAGCTATTCTGATGCCTCTGGTTTAGTAGTAGAAACTCAAGCAGGAAAATTAGAATGGCTTCTTGTCACAATTACTCTGATAATGTTAATAATACCTGTTAGACATTTTGCACATTACATATGAAGAAGAGTTTGAATCTCAGATAAAAACAAAAATACATCAAAAATCTTTAATGTAAGCACAGAATTCAATCATCTCGTGTATGAGAGGTTGGATCTGAGACGTCTTTTGAGTCTGGTCGTAGTGAAGGACGCAAGGTGTCAATTCTAGTGAGAACAATTTCCAGGAAGCCATGTTCCGCTCTTGAGCGAGCACCCACTGGGCCTCATGCAAGGTAGAAAGAGCCTGCGTACGTCACCCTCCCATGATGTGGTCAACATGTAAACTGCATGGGCAGGGCGCCAAATAACATCCTGTGCGCTGCTGAGCTGAGCTGGGGCGCGGCCGCCTGTCTGCACAGACAGCACCATGTCGCTCATGGTCGTCAGCATGGTGTGTGTTGGTGAGTCCTGGAAGGGCATCGAGGGAGGGAGTGCGGGGATGGAGATCGGGGCCCAGAGTTGGAGATATAGGCCTGGAAGTGGAGTTATGGGCCTAGAGATGGAGTGATGGGCCTAGAAGTGGAGATCTGGGCCTGGAGTGGAGATCTGGGCCTGGAGTGGAGATATGGGCCTGGAGGTTGAGATATGGGCCTGCAGTAGAGATATGGGCTTGTAGTGGAGACATGGGCCTGGAGATGGAGATATGGGCCTGGAGATGGAGATATGGGCCTGCAGTAGAGATAGGGGCCTGGAGTGGAGATATGGGCCTGGAGTGGAGATATGGGCCTGGAGTGGAGATATGGGCCTGGAGGTGGAGATATGGGCCTGGAGGTGGAGATATGGGCCTGGAGTGGAGATATGGGTCTGGAGGTGGAGATACGGGCCTGCAGTAGAGATATGGGCCTGGAGTGGAGATATGGGCCAGGAGTGGAGTTATGGGCCTAGAGGTGGATATCTGGGCCTGGAGTGGAGATATGGGCCTAGGAAGGAGATATGGGCCTGGGTGTGGAGATATGGGACTGGAGAGGTGATATGGGCCTGGAGTGGAGATATGGGCTTAGGGTGGAGATCTGGGCCTGGGGCGGAGATATGGGACTGGATTGGAGATAGGGGCCTAGGGTGGAGATCTGAGCCTGGATTGGCGATATGGGCCTAGGGTGGAAATATCAGCCTGGAGTGGAGATATGGGCTTGGGGTGGGGATATGGGCCTGGAAACTGGGTCTCTGCACAGCCGACAGCCCTGTTCTTGGGTGCAGGTAGGCACTGAGGGTGAGTTTAACTTCAGCCCAGGAAGGGCCTGGCTGCCAAGACTCACAGCCCAGTGGGGGCAGCAAGGGAGGCCTGGTTTGCCTGCAGATGGATGGTCCATCATGATCTTTCTTTCCAGGGTTCTTCTTGCTGCAGGGGGCCTGGCCACATGAGGGTGAGTCCTTCTCCAAACCTTCGGGTGTCATCTCCCCACATAAGAGGATTTTCCTGAAACAGGAGGGAAGTCCTGTCGGGGAGTCTCTCATAAACTAGGAAGAGAGGACCCTGGGGTGCTCAGCCCACATTTCTGACCTCGCCTCCCTGGCCTCTCAACCCCTTGGCAGAGTCAAGTTCTGTGGGGACCAGGGTTAGACTGGGGTGCTCAAAGCTGGGGTGTGTGGTTGGGAAGTGGTAGGAACAGCAGATCCTCTGAGGACAAAGGTGTTACTCACACACTTCAGCGTTTCCATGATGGTAGGGGCTGCAGTGTGGCTGCTGTCATTCTACCAGAAGAGGTGGGAAACCACAGCCATGGCCCTGACATTCCAAATCCTCTGATGGGGGCTCAGTTGTTTATTTTCGTTCAGGCATCCGCTGATATCCATTCACAAAGGACATGCCCTCCACCTCATGTCTACCCTGTGTTGTTTTATGTGAGTAATCTTACAGTATTAAAATCTAGTAGGAGTCTCTTTACTCAGCACTTGCTCAAAGTTCTCAGCTGAGGCTTTTGTTGTAGGGAGACACCATGTCTTTGCGGGATGGGTCCTTCCTTCAGCCCTGGGCACCAAGGTGTGATAGTAGCCATAGAAACGTGGAAAGCGAGGAGAATCTTCTGAGCACAGGGAGGGAAGGGCAGTTCCACATCCTCCTCTCTAAGGCGGCGCCTCCTTCTCCCCAAGGTGGTCAGGACAAGCCCTTGCTGTCTGCCTGGCCCAGCCTTGTGGTGCCTCTAGGACATGTCATTCTTCGGTGTCACTCTTATCTTGGGTTTAACAACTTCAGTCTGTACAAGGAAGGTGGGGTGCCTGTCCCTGAGCTCTACAACAGAATATTCTGGAACAGCCTTTTCATGGGCCCTGTGACCCCCGCACACACAGGGACATACAGATGTCGGGGTTCACACACACACTCCCCCAGTGGGTGGTCAGCACCCAGCAACCCCCTGGTGATCGTGGTCATAGGTCAGAGGGCTCCTGTCTTGGATTCTCCTTGTCCCACCTCCTGAATCCCAGAGCTTCTGGTGGGCATGTCCTTGAGGGTCCCATCACGCAGGCCCTGACTGTATTTGTGGTAAAGGGGGATTGAATACAGGGAAATGGGTGCTGTGGTGGGAAGAATAATTGTCCCCAGTGATGACTACATTCTAATCCCTGGAGTCTGTGACTATTTATGTTATAGGGGAAGGGACTGAAGGGGAAGATGGAGCTCATGGGGAGACAGCCTGGACTGTCCCACTGGGCTCAGTGTAATCACAAGGGTGCACATGAAAGGAGGAGGAAGAGGGGAGTGGGGATTAGAGCAGTCCAGTGGAAGTCTTCACCAGCTTTGAAGGTGGAGGAAGGCCAAGAGCCATGAATGCAGGTGGCCTATAGAGGCTGGAAAAGTCAAGGAACTGATTCTCCAGAGTCTCCAGAGGGAACAAAGCCCTGCAGATGCCTTGATTTTAGCCCAGGAAAAATAGGGTCCAATTTCTGTCTCCAGTACTGGAAGGTGTCAGTGTGGTCTCTCCTGCTGCCATGCTTCTGATAATTTTCTACAGCAGCAACAGGAAACCAACACTGGAACCCAGGTCAAGGACAAGTTAAGAAACAACCCAAGGAAAGCCAGGCATGGTGGCAGGTGCATGTAATCCTAGCGACTCAGGAGGCTGAGGGCAGGAGAATCACTTGAACCCAGGAGACAGAGGTTGCAGTGAGCCTAGACCACACCACTTCACTCCAGCCTGGGTGAAGGAGTGAGACTCTGTCTCCAAAATTAATTAATTAATTAAAGAAACCAAACAAGGAGAAGGTTGGCTACCCTGAGATCAGCAAGGGTGGGATGATGATGCCACCACCAGGCTCCATCCACATAGGGAGGGGTTGATACTCCTCCAACCAGCACCAGGAGCCAGCCTATGGAAGCTGGCACCATGGAGAAGGCACAGGCATGGCAAGAGTGGCTCCCAGTCCCCACCAGGAACAGGGTGTGTGGACACTGGTGCCTGCCTTATTCATCAGTTCATACCTTCTGCCAAGGATTGCAATTCATCCAAAAGAGATTGAACCAGGCTGATAAGAGCCTGGATGTGCAGCCTATCCTGGTTCCTCTTTCACCCCCACATAAACAGCAGGAAATACATTAGTGTGAAATAGATACAACACCCCAAGAGATGAGGCTAAGCCCAGTGGGAAGGGAATCAGAGGCTACTAGAGACAGAGGGACAGAGAAGAGGGAGGGAGACAGATGGAAGGACCTGCACCAGGAGTTAAGGGCACAGAAAAGAACATGAAGACACAGAGAGGAAGGAGAGAGACAGACACCAGCAAGGGGAAGCCTCACTCATTCTAGGTGCCATGGATGGGATGATAAAGAGAGACACCTTCTAAACTCACAACCTCTCTTCCTAGGAGTCCACAGAAAACCTTCCCTCCTGGCCCACCCAGGTCCCCTGGTGAAATCAGAAGAGACAGTCATCCTGCAATGTTGGTCAGATGTCAGGTTTCAGCACTTCCTTCTGCACAGAGAAGGGAAGTTTAAGGACACTTTGCACCTCATTGGAGAGCACCATGATGGGGTCTCCAAGGCCAACTTCTCCATCGGTCCCATGATGCAAGACCTTGCAGGGACCTACAGATGCTACGGTTCTGTTACTCACTCCCCCTATCAGTTGTCAGCTCCCAGTGACCCTCTGGACATCGTCATCACAGGTGAGAGTGTCCGGACATTCTCATTGTCATTGGGATGCAGAGTGAATGATCCACGACTTGGAACCCCCAGGTAGTTGTAAGGAAGATGAGCTTGGTATTCTTATGGAGAGAGACTGACTTGCTGAGGTTTGTACCAACAGAGACAGAGAAACAGGAGACACAAGTACAGACCAGGTGTCATAACAGAGGACAGACACAGGGGCCATACAGGGAGTTAGAAAAGACAGAAAGAGTTAAAAGAGACAGACAGACAGACATGTCCCAGAGAGAGGTGTCCCTCCATGCTGACTTTGCTCACAGACCTGGCACAGGTTAGAAGTTTCATTTCTGTTTTACCTCCACAAAGTGTTCTCTACCAGGAGAACCCAAGGACACCCATATTTCTGACCTGAGTTGGGCCCTGTGGCCTCAGGCCTTGTGGCACCTACAGATGCCATGTTTATTCTGACACCTCTGCCTTCCATGTAATGGAGAGTAATCGTCCCAGGATATCATGGCCCCAGAACACCAACCCCTGTATGCTGTGTGAACTTGTGGTCTCCAGACTGGATTCTGTGGCTCACATTCCAAATAACCCCACATATGAAAGGATCACTGAGAGGCACAGAGAAAAATCAGGAACACCAAAAAGCAAAGACATAAACACACAGAGAATGAGCCAGAGGAAGGAGATTGAGAGACTCACAGACACATAAAGAGAGAGAAAAGAGGGCAGAGGAGTGGTGAGAATGATGGCAGGGAGCAGAGAAAAGCACTAAAATTAGAGTCCTGAGAGAGAGGCACAAGGACATAGAAACATGGAGATGTGGGGATGAATTGCAGAGATTCCAAAGAGAGCTAGAGAGACCGAGAGGCAGAGCAAGACAGATGATAGATGGATAGATATAGATAGATGATAAATAGGTAGATGATAGATAATAGGTTAAAGATACATAGATGATGATTGATTGATTCATTAATAGATAATACATAGAGATGATGATGATGAAGACAGATAATACGTACAGATAGAGAGGCAGACAGAAATCATAGAGAGAGAGATGATACATACATATAAATAACAGATGATTGATGGATAGATAGACAAGTGATAGATACATAGATGATATATAGATATAGATGACAGGTAGAGAATTTGTAGATAGACACCGAATAGATAAATAGATAGATCGACAGATAATAGATAGAAATATGCAGAAAGTTATGAACAGGACACAACGTGAGAAACTTAGAATTTAAAAAAGTAACATCAAGTCAACCAATCCAAGGAGAGTCAGAGAGAATAAAAGAATCCAAAAAGGGAAAACATATCTAGAGGTGGGGAAGCGAGGTCAGAGACCTAGAGAGACAGAGAAGGTGGAAGGAGGAAATAGACATGAAGAGAGATGGGGTGGAGGGTGAGAGAGAGAGAGAGAGAGCATTAGGTCATAGAGCAGGGGAGTGAGTTCTCAGCTCAGGTGAAGGGAGCTGTGACAAGGAAGATCCTCCGTAAGGAAAATGCCTCTTCTCCTCCAGGTCTATATGAGAAACCTTCTCTCTCAGCCCAGCCGGGCCCCACGGTTCTGGCAGGAGAGAGCGTGACCTTGTCCTGCAGCTCCCGGAGCTCCTATGACATGTACCATCTATCCAGGGAGGGGGAGGCCCATGAACGTAGGTTCTCTGCAGGGCCCAAGGTCAACGGAACATTCCAGGCCGACTTTCCTCTGGGCCCTGCCACCCACGGAGGAACCTACAGATGCTTCGGCTCTTTCCGTGACTCTCCATACGAGTGGTCAAACTCGAGTGACCCACTGCTTGTTTCTGTCACAGGTGAGGAAACCCCATATCTGTCTCATGTCCTATGATCCTAGAGCCTTAGCTGAGGAGCTTCCTGCTGATGATGGAGAGAAGCATGGACAGATGCAGAGAGAAGACGAAGCTTGGGTGTGAGGGAGGGATCAGGGCACAGGATGGCAGACAGGGCACCTCCAAACCCTCCTACACGGCCTGCATGAAGGCCCGCGGCCAGGGCTCCAGGCACACAGGCAGATGGAGAAAACGGTCAGGAGAGACGCAGAGGAGAGAGACTGGGCTCAGTTTGGGAAGATCAGAGGTTCCCTCAGCCCCTCAACATTACCCATTTCCCAGAAGCCCATCCTGGCCTCTCACCCACACAGGGATGTCATCACCAGCAACCCCTACACCCTTTACTTTTGTTTGAAGAAATATTTATTGAGGATAAATATACCTATATAGCTTACCACCTTTAACATTTTTTTTTTTTTTGAGGCAGAGTCTAGCTCTGTCCCCTATGCTGGAGTGCAGTGGCACAATCTCAGCTCACTGCAACTTCCGCCTCCTGGGTTCAAGTGATTCTCCTGCCTCAGCCACCTGAGTAGCTGGTGCTACAGGCGCGCACCACCACGCCAGGCTACTTTTTGTATTTTTAGTAGAGAGGGGGTTTCACCATGTTGGTCGAGCTGGTCTCCAACTCCTGACCACGTGATCCACCCGCATCTGCCTCCCAAAGTGCTGGGATTACAGGCATGAGCCACCACGCCCAGCCACATTTACCATTTTTAAGTGTAAAGTCTAGTGGTCATAAATACATTTATATATATATATATATATATATATATATATATATATATATATATATATATATATACACACACACACACATATATACATATATATATATATATATATATATATATATATATATATATTTTTTTTTTTTTTTTTTTTTTTTTACCCTCCACCCTTTTATTCCTGGCCTCTGGAAGCCACCATTCTACTCTCTACCTTCATGAGATCCACCTTTTAGCTCTGTATATGGGTGAGAAATGGGAATCTTTGTAATGACTTCCAGTTCCATCCATGTGGCTGCAAATATCAGGATGTTATTCTTTCTATGGATGAGTAGTCTCCACTGTGCGTATGTACTACATTCTCTCTATCCATTCATCCACTGATGGGCAGGTAGGTTGACTCCACATCTTGGCTACTGTGAACAGTGCTGCACCAATCATACGAGTGCAGATATCACTTCGATATATTGATTTACTTTCCTTTGGATATAAACCCAGTAGTGAAATTGCTGGATACTATGAAAGTTCTCTTTTTAGTTATTCGTTTGTTGTTTTGTTTTTGTTTTTGAGACAGTTTCCCTCTGTGCCCAGGCTGGAGTACAAGTGAAGTCATCTTGGCTCATTGCAACCTCCGCCTCCTGGGTTCAAATGATTTTCCTGCCTCAGCCTCCCTAGTAGCTGGGATTACAGGTGCACGCCACCATGCCTGGCTACTTTTTGTTTTTTTTAGTATAGATGCGGTTTCCCCATGTTGGCTGGGCTGCTCTCAAACTCATGACCTCAACTGAGGTGCCCGCCTCGGTCTCCCAAAGTGCCGGGATTACAGGCATGATCCACCTCACCCAACCTCTTTTTAGTTCTTTAAAGGACTTCCACACTTTTCTCCGTAAAGGCTGTACTAATTTACACTCCTACCAACAGGGTATTAGGGTTCTCCTTTCTCTACCACTTTGGCAGGATTTCCTTTGCCTGTCTTGCAGCTAAAAGCCATTTTATTTTATTTCATTTTATTTTGAGATGGAGTTTCGCTCTTGTCACCCAGGCTGGAGTGCAGTGGTGCGATCTCGGCTCACCACAACCTCCACCTCCCAGGTTCAAGCGATTCTCCTGCCTCAGCCTCCCGAGTAGCTGGAATTACAGGCACACGCCACCACGCCCAACTAAATTTTGTATTTTTAGTAGAGACAGTGTTTCTCCATGTGGGTCAGACTGGTCTCAAACTCCCGACCTTATGAGATTCACCCACCTCAGGCTCTCAAAGGTCTAGGATGACAGACGTGAGCCACCACGCCCGGCCTAAAATCCATTTTAATGGGGTGAGATGAAAACTCACTTTGATTTTAATTTGTGTTTCTCTGATGATGAGTGAAACTGAGCACTTTTTAGTATGTGGGGAAATTTCATGTGTTTTGCTCCTTTTTCAATTAAATCATTTGTTTTATTGAGTTGTTTGAGCTTCTTATATTTCTAGTTATTAATCCCATCTCAGATGCATAGTTTGCACATATTTGCTCCCAATCTGTGGGTTGTCTCTTCACTTTGTTGGTTTATTTTTAGCGGTGCAGAAGTTGCTTAGTTTGAGGTAATCCCAATGGTCTATTTTTGCTTCGATTACTTGTGTTTTGAAGGTTTAAAACAAAATGTCTTCCTTCAGACAAATGTCCTGGAGCATTTCCCCAATATTTTCTTCTACGTGTTTCATAGGTTCAGGCCTTAGACTCACATCTTTAATCCATTTTCATTTGAGTTTTGTGTATAGTGACAGGTAGAGGTGCAGTTTCATTCCTCTGCATGTAGATGTCCAGGTTTCCCTGCACTGTTTATTGAAAAGACTGTCCTTTCCTGATTGTGAGTTCTTGGCACCTTTGTCAAAGTCCATTGGATGGGCTGGGCATGGTGGCTGACACCTGCAATTTCAGCACTTTGGGAGCCCAAGGCGGGTGGATCACCTGAGGCCAGGAGTTCAAGATTAGTCTGGCCGACGTGATGAAACATTGTCTCCACTAAAAATATAAAAATTAGCTGAGCATGGTGGTCAGCACCTGTAATACCACTACTCAGGAGTTTGAGGCCAGAGAATTGATTGAACCCAGGAGGCTGTGGTGGCAGTGAACCGAGATTGCACCTCTGCACTCCAGCCTGGGCGACAGAGCGAGACTCCATCTCAAAAGAAAAAAGAAAAAAACATTGGAGGTAAATGCATGGATTATATCTGTGTTCTTCATTCTGCTCCATTGTTCTACGTGCCTTTCTTTATGCCAATGTGATGCTGTTTTGCTTACTACAGCTCTGTAACATATTTTGAGATCAGGTAGTGTGATGCTCCTGTTTTCTCTTTATACCTTGAAGTCTCAAGACAGTGGGCGTCACATACAAAAATTACGGAAAAAAGGATCCCAGGACTCCCAGGGCCCAATATTAGATAACAGAGTGTTGGCCATGAACCAACCTCAAAGAGTTCCATTGAGTAGAGGACAGACACCCTCATTTCCTCACCTCTCTCCTGTCTCATGTTCTAGGAAACCCTTCAAATAGTTGGCTTTCACCCACTGAACCAAGCTCCGAAACCGGTGAGTACAGAACCCTCTTATATCCGCTTTTGGAAACCTGGGGAGGTAGAAACCTTCGATGCAGGCATTGACTCAGCATCTCGCAGCTCTGACATTGTACGCCTGTCTTCTACCATCTCCGAACTCCAGATACTCCAACAGCGAAAGGGATCTGGGCCCAACCTAGGGCTCAGTGAAATCTCTTAATCTCTCATTTTATGGAGCTGAGATCTCCTACAAGCTAGAAGAATGATTGCCAATCTGACATCCTTCTCAGGAAAAATGCAATGTTTGTTCTGCCTGCATTCCTAACTGGAGGATAAATTCCTGGGGGCTTGAGAGAGGGAAGGGAAGGGAACATCTGATGAGGGCGAGGTGTTTTAGAGAAGTTCCACTTGCCAAGGAATGAATTACTGTTGGTCATGAAGCAACCCTGGCTGACTCAGCAGAGCAACAGCCTTGCCGTAACAGAGAACGGAGCTCATGCACGCACACTTCGACTCACTGACTCATTCAGCCACGGCCCCATGCTCAGGCTGTGCAGTGCGGAACCTTTTCCTATTGTTGCCATAACAAATTTCCACAAGATTCGTGGGTGAAAACAAAACGGTTTTTTAATTATCTTACAGTGCTGTAGCTCAAAGTAGGAAGTGCATCTTACTGGGCTAAAATCAAGGTGACAGCAAGGCTGCCTTCCCTCTGAGGATTCCAGGCAAGAATCTGCTTCTCACTTATCCCAGCTTCTAAAGGCTCCCAGTTCCTTGGCTCCTGTTCCCCTTCCTCCTTCCTCAAAGCCCACAAAGACTGGTCACATCTCACATGGCATCACTCAGTGCCTTCTTCCTTACCACACCTCTTTCTCTGAATGCTGCTCTCCCTTCTTCCTTATCTTTTGAAAACTTGGGGATTCTATTGGGTTCACCAAGATGAAAATCCCTCATAATCTCCTGGAAATCATCCAGGATACCCTTGTTTTAAGTTCAGCTGATTAGCAACCGCAATTCCATCTACAATCTTCATTCCTCCTTTCCATGTAAAATAACATATTCACAAGCTATGGAGGCTAGGACAGGGACATTTTGGGGTGGGACAGCATTCTCCTGCCTTCCACAAACGGTGAACAAGATGCATTTGGCCTCTGCCCTTGGGACACTGATATTGCAGATGGTTAAATGGGAGGGCAGAAAATGAATGCACAAGTGGATCTATAAATGAATGATCCATTGGGAAGCATCTGTGCATGAAATCTATTTTTTGTTTGTTCTTTTGTTTATTGAGACAGAGTCGCCCTCTGTCTTCCAGGCTACAGTGCAGTGTCACGATCTTGGCTCACTGCAACCTGCGTCTCCTGGATTCAAGTGATTCTCCTGCCTCCGCCTCTCGAGTAGCTGGGATTACAGGCAACTGCCACCGTGCCCGGCTAATTCTTTTTGTATATTTTTTGTAGAAAGGATGTTTCACCACGTTGGCCAAGCTTGTCTGAAACTCCCAACCTCAAGTGATCCGACCGTCTCAGCATGCCAAAGTAATGGGACTACAGGCGTGAGCCACTGTGCCCAGCCAGAATTCAAAATCAATAATAGATAATGCTGAGTGTATGATTTCAGGTGACAAAGAAGGTCTCTCTATTCAGATATTTGTGACATTAATGAAAAACACGGATTGAACCCCTGAAAGATTGGCGGAAGGATTTTGCACACACAGCTGTCAGCCGTGAAGGCACAAAGGTGAAAACAATCTGATGTGGAAGGAAGAGGCTCTGCCTCAAATGCTGGGAATGAGGTGGGGAGAATGACAAGACGACTGTAGGGAGACGGAGAGCACACTGGGTACACAGGAAACTAAGGAGCAACAAGGAGTGTGTGTTTGACACTCACAGCCATTGGATTCACCTCGGGGTAACCAGGAATCCCTACATGATTAATATGACGGACATGAAAATAAGGGAGGCTCAGTTGCATAACTGGAATCTAGGAGACCGTGGAAAAGGCAATTGCCGCCCCACTGGTGAAATGTGGTGCTGATTTAGACACTAAATGAATGAAGTAGATGGATATAAGATATGTTTGTGAGGTAGAATCGTTGACTGGAAAGGCTTACTGGGTTTGATTTTCCTACTTGTTTAATCCTCGCTTAATTAATTTCTTTCTGAGATTTATTCATCCTACACATAAATCAATACCTGGCAAAGGAGTGACAGATATATGAGTGGTGGTGGAAATGAAGAGACTTATTATAGCATAATATACAAGTCTGTGAACAGTGGCTCACGCCTGTAACCTAGCACTGCAGGAGGCCAAGGTGGGTGGATTCCATGAAGTCAGGAGTTCCAGACCAGCCTGGCCAACGTGGTGAAACCCTATCTCTACTAAAAATACAAAAATTAGCCGAGCACGATGGTGCATCCCTGTAATCCCAGCTCCTATTCTGGAGGATGAAGCAGGAGAACGACTTCAACCCAGTAGGTGGAGGTTGCAGTGAGTGGAGATTGCATCACTGCACTCCAGCCTGGGGGACACAAGGAGACTCTATCTCAAAAAATAAAAATAAGAAATACATAAATATAATAAAACACACACGAATGACAAAGGCACCTGAATTCCAATCATCGTTTTTCTATTTCTCTATAATTACTTCTTTGATCCTTTATCTTATCCATTAGGCAATGAGCTTAAAACCTCTTCCCTATTTGGCTTTCTGTGAGAATGAGATCACATAGAAAATGTGAAAGCCCTCAGAATCCTCCAGCACAGATCGTGGAATAGAGAAAGTGCTCTGTTCATCGCAACAAAAAACTTGCCCACTCACCCAAATCCCCCACCTCACCCCTACTTCCAATCACCTGTGGAGATTCAGATAGGCTATGGGGAGGTAAACATTGATACTCCTTGGAGTGAGTCCAGATCTTGGAATCAGAGATCAGTGCCAGCACTAGCTCCTGCTCCCCTTTCCTACTAATTCACAGGAGGACAGGTGGTATTGAAGCAATAGATGGCCGAGGGGGTGGTCCTTCCCCCAGCCTCTCGGGTAGAACAGCAGCCTAACATGTGTCTCCCGAGATCACAAAGAGTAGCACGTTTCACACGGGCTTCAACACTATTTCCTGGCCATTTGACATAAGAGAATTCTACTTAGCTTTTTTTATCTTGATTTCACTTTTGTTTCCTTTTCTTGGAGAATGCAAGTTGTTTGATTCAAGAATGCTGTGGATGTAGAAATCCTAAAGCACATTCGCTGTGTATCAATCCCAGTGCAGTCTTCCCAGAGAAGACTCTAAATACCTCCTGGACTGCACCTGGGCTTATGCCAATTCCTATCACTCACCGTCACTCCAGGGAGACAGAACACACAGAGAATACATTACACAGGCAGGTTCATTACTAACAGATAAGCAGCGAGTGACAACAGAAACCTACATTTCAATGTGAGCCAGTCCCTCAAGGCTCAGAAAAGCTCCTCGGGACATATGGAGTCACCCCATTTGCAGTGTAGCTGGGGGAAGCCAGAGAGCAGCCCAGCCTGGGTTTTGTACTGTGGAGCCACAGGAAGCACTCAGCTAAAGCACTGCATGACGTCCTCCTCCAGGAAGAACAGGAAGACAGCCCAGGCTGTTCTGAGACGTTCCTCCTGATCTCAGGACGTTGCTGTCTTAGTCCATTTTTGTTGCTCTAAAGGAACACTTGAGCCTGGGTAACTTCTAGAGAAAAGAGATTGGTTTGCCTCACAGTTCTGCAGGCTATACTGGAAGCGTGGCACCAGCATCTATTTCTCGTGACGGCCTCAGGCTGCTCCCACTCTGGCAGAAGGGAAGGAGGGTCTGTCTGTGCAGAGACCACAGAGATCACACGGCAAGAGAGGGAGCAAGGGGGAGGGGGAGCGATGGAGCTTCCAAGCTCTTTTGAACAACCAGCTCTCCAGGAACTAATAGAAGGGGAACTTGCTAACCCCGTCTCCTTGGGACAGCATTGGTCTGTTCATGATGGATCCACCTCCATGACCCAAACACCTCTCAAGAGGCCCAACCTCCCACAGTGGGGGTGAAATTTCAATGTGAGGTTTGAAGGGGTCAAACATCTCAACTAAAGTAGTTGTATCCTCAACACGTTCTATGGTTACTATGAGAGCTATAACTGAGAAAGCAGGAGAAAGCTGGGTCTCCCTCCATCTGGGTGCTTGTCCTAAAGGGGTGTTGTATGTGGTTACCTGTCAATCAAGAAATGTGAGACAATTCATAAAGAGGAACTGCTATGATTAGCTTCTTATTGGTGTCTCCTCTTCTTCCAGGTAACCCCAGACACCTGCATGTTCTGATTGGGACCTCAGTGGTCATCATCCTCTTCATCCTCCTCCTCTTCTTTCTCCTTCATCGCTGGTGCTGCAACAAAAAAAGTAAGTCTCACGAAGCAGAGGCCAGAGAGCTCAGGGCCATGTGGGGAAGCAGGATGGGAGCACTCAGGTGTGTGTTCCTCACAGACAGGATGGTCCCTGGCCCAAGGCAGCAGCCACAGAGGGAGGACTTTCTAGAGAGAGCACCAGACTCCCTGTCCCTGCCTTCAGCTCACAGACCATTGCCTGATTCTGAACTGTATCCTCATGTCCCCTGCAGCCACTCACATCCAGGAGAAGGTTCCATGACAGGCAGAAAGTGGGAGACAGAATCAATGGGATGGGAACTCAGAGCTATTCATGGGATGGGTCCTTGAGCTCAGAGAGATAGAATGTCTGAGTCTGCTGTTGGCAACTGAGGGACCTCAGGCTCCTATGGTCTCCCCCTGTATGTTGGTATCTGCTTATGAAATGAGGGCCCAGAAGTGCCCTCTGAGCTGTTTTGTTGACTTCCGTCTTCTACAGATGCTGTTGTAATGGACCAAGAGCCTGCAGGGAACAGAACAGTGAACAGGGAGGTAGGTGCTCCTCGGCCCAGCCTCGTGGCTAGTGTTATTCCCAAAGAGTCCTGGAAAATGTGAGCACCCTCCCTCACTCAGGATTTCCCTCTCTCCAGGACTCTGATGAACAAGACCCTCAGGAGGTGACATATGCACAGTTGAATCACTGCGTTTTCACACAGAGAAAAATCACTCACCCTTCTCAGAGGCCCAAGACACCCCCAACAGATATCATCGTGTACACGGAACTTCCAAATGCTGAGCCCTGATCCAAAGTTGTCTCCTGCCCATGAGCACCACAGTCAGGCCTTGAGGGGATCTTCTAGGGAGACAACAGCCCTGTCTCAAAACTGGGTTGCCAGCTCCAATGTACCAGCAGCTGGAATCTGAAGGCGTGAGTCTGCATCTTAGGGCATCGCTCTTCCTCACACCACAAATCTGAACGTGCCTCTCTCTTGCTTACAAATGTCTAAGGTCCCCACTGCCTGCTGGAGAGAAAACACACTCCTTTGCTTAGCCCACAATTCTCCATTTCACTTGACCCCTGCCCACCTCTCCAACCTAACTGGCTTACTTCCTAGTCTATTTGAGGCTGCAATCACACTGAGGAACTCACAATTCCAAACATACAAGAGGCTCCCTCTTAACACGGCACTTAGACACGTGCTGTTCCACCTTCCCTCATGCTGTTCCACCTCCCCTCAGACTAGCTTTCAGCCTTCTGTCAGCAGTAAAACTTATATATTTTTTAAAATAATTTCAATGTAGTTTTCCCTCCTTCAAATAAACATGTCTGCCCTCATGGTTTAGGTAATGGGACTCTTTTCTTGCCTAAGGCTTCCGGTGTTATCAGTACCATGTCCATATAATCCCATCTGTTCTCCACGGGGTTCTCACCTCTGGACTCTGAGCTTCTGGAAGCAGTGTGGAGCCTCATTTGTCTCTGGGACTCCAATTTCCATCCAAAGATGCAGCACATAGGAGGTTCCAAGGATCGGGAATCACATGAACAAGTGACATTGTTACTCTCTGCAGACCTGGAAAGCTGGCAGAGTCATTCCACAATGAAACATTTGTAGAGTCATAGGCCTTGTTAGTCTCATCTCCATGGGGACACATATCAACACATCATCTTTCATACTATAAATATACGGTCACTCCTCCGTATCTGTGGGGTTTACAGGTCTTTATTGAACAAAGTATAAATCAAAAATATTCAGAGAAAATATCCACAGAGTTCCAAAACTCATAACTATGTTGAATGGACACAAATGAAGCTGTGTGTAGGCTGTATCAGGAATTATAAGTAATCAAGAGATGATTTCATGTATACAGGAGGATGTGCATATGTTATTTGCAAGCGCTGTGCCATTTCATATAAGAGGCTTGAGCATCTACAGATTTTGGTATCTGAGTGGAGATCTCGAAACCAATCACCCACGAATAGTGAAGGATGACCGTATATGACTTTTATTTCTCAAATTTAAATATAAATCAAAAAATGTACAACTAGATAAAAACTAAGAAGTGTTTTTATAGTGTGAGTTAGATTTATTTTTTACTAGGTGTAACCCATTGGTTTAATATTATTTATTGAGAAGACATTCTATGCCACCTTAAACCACACGGCAGCCTTTGTCAACTCTAAAGGGACTGTGTGTACATGGATGTATTTTAGACAGTTTCTGCTAAGGGGCTGTCTGTGTCCACACTCTTGATGATGCTACACTTTATGTAGCCTTATAGAACCCTTTAAATTTAGTAGCCAGAGCCCTCTAATTTGTTATTATAGGCTATTTGCTTTTTTTTTTCTTGAGGCGGAGTCTTGCTCTGTCGCCCAGGCTGGACTGCAGTGGTGCAATCTCAGCTCACTGCAACCTCCGCCTCCCAGGTTCAAGCGATTCTCGTGCCTCAGCCTCTTGGGTAGCTGGCGTTACAAGTTCCTGCCACTGGGCACGGCTAATTTTTGGATTTTTAGCAGAGACACGGTTTCACTGTGTTGCCAGGCTGCTCTCAAACTCCTTATATCAGTTGATCCGCCCACCTCGGCTTCCCGACGTGCTGGGGGAAACTTGATTTTCTATAGCATTATGTTACTGGATATTTCTGTAAAATTTAAAATGAGGGAGGCAGAGAGACAGAGAGAGAACAAACTCCAGAGTTGGGACTCTGGAAACTTGGGTCATGAGACAAATTTTAGATAAATCTACAAAAATCCAGAGTTTAAATGTGTGGTTTTTGCTGATAACGTACAATTCAAAGATTGTAAATAATTGCATAATCCTTCCCTGGGAATTTAAATCATTTTAACTGGTTCTGCTGTAATACTAGAAATACAAGCATGAAAAATTCTAATGGTTTATTAGTCACAATGACTCTGAAAACCTTAATAATACCTATTAGATATTTTGCATATTACACATGAAGAAGAGTTTGAATCTCAGATAAAAACAATAAAAATACATGAAAAGTCTTTCACGTTAGCACAGATTTTAGGCATCTCGTGTTCAGGAGGTTGGATCTGAGACGTGTTTTGAGTTGGTCATAGTGAAGGACGCTAGGTGTAAATTCTAGTGAGAACAATTTCCAGGAAGCCGTGTTCCGCTCTTGAGCGAGCACCCACTGGGCCTCATGCAAGGTAGAATGAGCCTGCGTACGTCACCCTCCCATGATGTGGTCAACATGTAAACTGCATGGGCAGGGCGCCAAATAACATCCTGTGCGCTGCTGAGCTGAGCTGGGGCGCGGCCGCCTGTCTGCACCGGCAGCACCATGTCGCTCACGGTCGTCAGCGTGGCGTGTGTTGGTGAGTCCTGGAAGGGAATAGAGGAAGGGAGTGTGGGGTTGGAGATCTGGGCCCAGAGGTGGAGATATAGGCCTGGAGGTGGAGTTGTGGGCCTGGAGTGGAGATCTGGGCCTGGAGTGGATATATGGGCCTAGAGATGGAGTGATGGGCCTAGAAGTGGAGATCTGGGCCTGGAGTGCCGATAGGAACCTGGAGGGGAGATAGGAGCCTGGAGTGGAGACATGGGCCTGGAGGTGGAGTTATAGGCCTATAGTAGAGATATGGGCCTGGAGTGGAGATTTGGGCCAGGAGTGGAGATATGGGCCTAGAGGTGGATATCTGGGCCTAGAGTGGAAATATGGGCCTAGGATGGAGATATGGGCCTGGTTGTGGAGATATGGGACTGGAGAGGAGATATGGGCCTAGAGTGGAGATATGGGCTTGGGGTGGAGATCTGGGCCTGGGGTGGAGATATGGGCCTGGAGGTGGAGTTACGGGCCTTCAGTAGAGATATGGGCCTGGGGTGGAGATATGGGCTTGGGGTGGAGATCTGGGCCTGGAGTGGAGATATGGGCCTGGAGGTGGAGTTACTGGCCTTCAGTAGAGATATGGGCCTGGTGTGGAGATATGGGCCTGGATTGGAGATATGGGCCTAGGGTGGAGATCTGAGCCTGGGGTGGAGATATGGGCCTGGATTGGAGATATGGGCTTACAGTGGAGATCTTGGCCTGGATTGGCGATATGGGCCTGGATTGGCGATATGGGCCTATGATGGAAATATCGGCCTGGAGTGGAGATATGGGCCTGGAGTGGAGATACAGGCCTAGGGTGGAAATATTGGCCTGGAGTGGAGATATGGGCTTGTGGTGGGGATATGGGCTTGTGGTGGGGATCTGGGCTTGGAGGCTGGGTCTCTGCACAGCCGACAGCCCTGTTCTTGGGTGCAGGTAGGCACTGAGGGTGAGTTTAACTTCAGTCCAGGAAGGGCCTGCCTACCAAGACTCACAGCCCAGTGAGGGCAGCAAGGGTGCCCTGGTTTGCCTGCAGATGGATCGTCCATCATGATCTTTCTTTCCAGGGTTCTTCTTGCTGCAGGGGGCCTGGCCACATGAGGGTGAGTCCTTCTCCAAACCTTCGGGTGTCATCTCCCCACATAAGAGGATTTTCCTGAAACAGGAGGGAAGTCCTGTCAGGGAGCCTCTCATAAACTAGGAAGAGGGGACCCTGGGGTGCTCGGCCCACAGTTCCGACCTCGCCTCCCTGGCCTTTCATTCCCTTGGCAGAGTCAAGTTCTGTGGGGACCAGGGTTAGACTGGGGTGCTCAAAGCTGGGGTGCGTGGTGGGGAAGTGGTAGGAACAGCAGATCCTCTGAGGACAAAGGTGTTACTCACACTTCAGCGTTTCCATGACGGTAGGGGCTGCAGTGTGGCTGCTGTCACTCCACCAGAAGAGGTGGGAAACCACAGCCATGGCCCTGACATTCCAAATCCTCTGATGGGGGCTCAGTTGCTTATTTTCATTCAGGCATCTGCTGATATTCCATTCTCAAAGACATGCCCTCCACCCCATGTCTACCCTGTGTTGTTTTATGTGAGTAATCTTACAGTATTAAAATCTAGTAGGAGTCTCTTACTCAGCACTTGCTCAAAGTTCTCAGCTGACACTTTTGTTGTAGGGAGACACCTTGTGTTTGCGGGATGGGTCCTTCCTTTAGCCCTGGGCACCAAGGTGTGATAGCAGCCATAGAAACTTGGAAAGCGAGGAGAATCTTCAGAGCACAGGGAGGGAGGGGTGGCTCCACATCCTCCTCTCTAAGGCGGTGCCTCCTTCTCCCCAAGGTGGTCAGGACAAGCCCTTGCTGTCTGCCTGGCCCAGCTCTGTGGTGCCTCCAGGACATGTGATTCTTCGGTGTCATTCTTATCTTGGGTTTAACAACTTCAGTCTGTAAAAGGAAGATGGGGTGCCTGGCACTGAGCTCTACAACAGAATATTCTGGAAGAGCCTTTTCATGGGCCCTGTGACCCCAGCACACACAGGGACGTACAGATGTCGGGGTTCACACCCACACTACCCCAGTGGGTGGTCGGCACCCAGCAACACCCTGGTGATCATGGCCACAGGTCAGAGGGCTCCTGTCTTGGATTCTCCTTTCCCACCTCCTGAATCCCAGAGCTTCTGGTGGGCGTGTCCTTGAGGGTCCCATCACCCAGGCCCTGACTATATTTGGGGTAAAGGGGGATTGAATACAGGGAAATGGGTGCTGTGGTGGGAAGAATAATTGTCCCCAGTGATGACTACATTCAAATCCCTGGAGTCTGTGACTATTTATGTTATAGGGGAAGGAACTGAAGGGGAAGATGGAGCTCAGGTTGTTGATGAGTTGACCTTGAGATGGGGAGACAGCCTGGACTGTCCCGCTGGGCTCAGTGTAATCACAAGGGTCCACATGAAAGGAGGAGGAAGAGGGGAGTGGGGATTAGAGCAGCGCAATGGGAGACTCCACCAGCTTTGAAGGTGGAGGAAGGCCAGGAGCCATGAATGCAGGTGGCCTGTAGAGGTTGGAAAAGTCAAGGAAATGATTCTCCAGAGTCTCCAGAGGGAACGAAGCCCTGCAGATGCCTTGATTTTAGCCCAGGAAAAACAGGGTCCTATTTCTGTCTCCAGTAGTGAAATGGGTCAGTGTGCTCTCTCCTGCTGCCATGCTTCTGATAATTTTCTACAGCAGCAACAGGAAACCAACACTGGAACCCAGGTCAAGGACAAGGTAAGAAACAACACAAGGATAGCCGGGTGTGGTGGCAGGCGCATGTAATCCTAGCGACTTGGGAGGCTGAGGGCAGGAGAATCACTTGAACCCAGGAGACAGAGGTTGCAGTGACCCTAGACCACACCACTTCACTCCAGCTGGGGTGAAGGAGTGAGACTCTGTCTCCATAATTAATTAATTAATTAAAGGAACCAAACAAGGGGAAGGTTGGCTACACCGAGATGAGCAAGTGTGGGATGATGATGCCACCACCAGGCTCCATCCACATAGGGAGGGGTTGATACTCCTCAAACCAGCACCAGGAGCCAGCCTATGGAAGCTGGCACCATGGAGAAGGCACAGGCATGGCAAGAGTGGCTCCCAGTCCCGACCAGGAACAGGGTGTGTGGACACTGGTGCCTGCCTTATTCATCAGTTCATACCTACTGCCAAGGATTCCAATTCATCCAAAAGAGATTGAACCAGGCTGATAAGAGGCTGGATGTGCAGCCTATCCTGGTTCCTCTTTCACCCCCACATAAACAGCAGGAAAGACATTAGTGTGAAATAGATACAACACCCCAAGAGATGAGGCTAAGCCCAGTGGGAAGGGAATCAGAGGCGACTAGAGACAGAGGGACAGAGAAGAGGGAGGGAGACAGATGGAAGGACCTGCACCAGGAGTTATGGGCACAGAAAAGAACATGAAGACACAGAGAGGAAGGAGAGAGACAGACACCAGCAAGGGGAAGCCTCACTCATTCTAGGTGCCATGGATGGGATGATAAAGAGAGACACCTTCTAAACTCACAACCTCTCTTCCTAGGAGTCCACAGAAAACCTTCCCTCCTGGCCCACCCAGGTCCCCTGGTGAAATCAGAAGAGACAGTCATCCTGCAATGTTGGTCAGATGTCAGGTTTGAGCACTTCCTTCTGCACAGAGAAGGGAAGTTTAACGACACTTTGCACCTCACTGGAGAGCACCATGATGGGGTTTCCAAGGCCAACTTCTCCATCGGTCCCATGATGGAAGACCTGGCAGGGACCTACAGATGCTACGGTTCTGTTACTCACTCCCCCATCAGTTGTCAGCTCCCAGTGACCCTCTGGACATCGTCATCACAGGTGAGAGTGTCCGGACATTCTTCTCATTGTCATTGGGATGCAGAGTGAATGATCCACGACTTGGAACCCCCAGGTAGTTGTAAGGAAGATGAGCTTGGTATTCTTATGGAGAGAGACTGACTTGGTGAGGTCTGTACCAACAGAGACAGAGAAACAGGAGACACAAGTACAGACCAGGTGTCATAACAGAGGACAGACACAGGGGCCATACCGGGAGTTAGAAAAGACAGAAGGAGTTAAAGGAGACAGACAGACAGACATGTCCCAGAGAGAGGTGTCCCTCCATGCTGACTTTGCTCAGAGACCTGGCACAGGTTAGAAGTTTCATTTCTGTTTTACCTCCACAAAGTGTTCTCTACCAGGAGAACCCAAGGACACCCATATTTCTGACCTGAGTTGGGCCCTGTGGCCTCAGGCCTTGTGGCACCTACAGATGCCGTGTTTATTCTGACACCTCTGCCTTCCATGTAATGGAGAGTAACCGTCCCAGGATATCATGGCCCCAGAACACCAACTCCTGTATGCTGTGTGAACTTGTGGTCTCCAGACTGGATTCTGAGGCTCACATTCCAAATAACCCCACATATGAAAGGATCACTGAGAGGCACAGAGAGAAATCAGGGACACCAAAAAGCAAAGACATAAACACACAGAGAATGAGCCAGAGGAAGGAGATTGAGAGACTCACAGACACATAAAGAGAGAGAAAAGAGGGCAGAGGAGTGGTGAGAATGATGGAAGGGAGCAGAGAAAAGCACTAAAATTAGACTCCTGAGGGAGAGGCACAAGGACATAGAAAGATGGAGATGTGGGGATGAATTGCAGAGATTCCAAAGAGAACTAGAGAGACCGAGAGGCAGAGCAAGACAGATGATAGAAGGTTAGATATAGATAGATGATAAATAGGTAGATGATAGATAATAGGTTAAAGATACATAGATGATGATTGATTGATTCATTAATAGATGAGACATAGAGATGATGATGATGAAGACAGATAGATAATACATAGAGATAGAGAGGCAGACAGAAGTCATAGAGAGAGAGATGATACATAGATATAGATAACAGATGATTGATGGATAGATAGACAAGTGATAGATACATAGATGATATATAGACATAGATGACAGGTAGAGAATTTGTAGATAGGCACCGAATAGATAAATAGATAGATCGATAGATAATAGATAGAAATATGCAGAAAGTTATGAACAGGACACAAAGTGAGAAACTTAGAATTTAAAAAAGTAACATCAAGTCAACCAATCCAAGGAGAGTCAGAGAGAATAAAAGAATCCAAAAAGGGAAAACATATCTAGAGGTGTGGAAGCGAGGTCAGAGACCTAGAGAGACAGAGAAGGTGGAAGGAGGAAATAGACATGAAGAGAGATGGGGTGGAGGGTGAGAGACAGAGAGAGAGAGCATTAGGTCATAGAGCAGGGGAGTGAGTTCTCAGCTCAGGTGAAGGGAGCTGTGACAAGGAAGATCCTCCGTAAGGAAAATGCCTCTTCTCCTTCCAGGTCTATATGAGAAACCTTCTCTCTCAGCCCAGCCGGGCCCCACGGTTCTGGCAGGAGAGAATGTGACCTTGTCCTGCAGCTCCCGGAGCTCCTATGACATGTACCATCTATCCAGGGAGGGGGAGGCCCATGAACGTAGGTTCTCTGCAGGGCCCAAGGTCAACGGAACATTCCAGGCTGACTTTCCTCTGGGCCCTGCCACCCACGGAGGAACCTACAGATGCTTCGGCTCTTTCCGTGACTCTCCCTACGAGTGGTCAAACTCGAGTGACCCACTGCTTGTTTCTGTCACAGGTGAGGAAAGCCCATGGCTGTCCCATGTCCTATGATCCTAGAGCCTTAGCTGAGGAGCTTCCTGCTGAGGATGGAGAGAAGGATGAACAGATGCAGAGAGAAGACGAAGCTTGGGTGTGAGGGAGGGATCAGGGCACAGGATGGCAGACAGGGCACCTCCAAACCCTCCTACATGGCCTGCATGAAGGCCTGCGGCCAGGACTCCAGGCACCCAGGCAGATGGAGAAAGCGGTCAGGAGAGACCCAGAGGAGGGAGACTGGGCTCAGTTTGGGAAGATCAGAGGTTCCCTCAGCCCCTCAACATTACCCATTTCCCAGAAGCCCATCCTGGCCTCCCACCCACACAGGGATGTCATCACCTGCAACCCCTACACCCTTTACTTTTGTTTGAGAAATATTTATTGAGGATAAATATACCTATATAGCTTACCACCTTTAACATTTTTTTTTTGAGGCGGAGTCTAGCTCTGTCCCCTATGCTGGAGTGCATTGGCACAATCTCAGCTCACTGCAACTTCCGCCTCCTGGGTTCAAGCGATTCTCTTGCCTCAGCCACCTGAGTAGCTGGTGCTACAGGCGTGCACCACCATGCCAGGCTACTTTTTGTATTTTTAGTAGAGAGGGGGTTTCACCATGTTGGTCAAGCTGGTCTGGAACTCCTGACCACGTGATCCATCCGCATCAGCCTCCCAAAGTGCTGGGATTACAGGCATGAGCCACCACGCCCAGCCACATTTACCATTTTTAAGTGTAAAGTCTAGTGGTCATAAATACATTAATATATATATATACACACATATTTTTTTTTACCCTCCACCCTTTTCTTCCTGGCCTCTGGTAGCCACCATTCTACTCTCTACCTTCATGAGATCCACCTTTTAGCTCCTGTATATGGGTAAGAAATGGGAATCTTTGTAATGACCTCCAGTTCCATCCATGTGGCTGCAAATATCAGGATGTTTTTCTTTCTATGGAAGAGTAGTCTCCACTATGCAAATGTACCACATTCTCTCTATCCATTCACCCACTGATGGGCAGGTAGGTTGACTCCTCATCTTGGCTACTGTGAAGAGTGCTGCACCAATCATACGAGTGCAGATATCACTTCGATATATTGATTTACTTTCCTTTGGATATAAACCCAGTAGTGAAATTGCTGGATACTATGAAAGTTCTCTTTTTAGTTTTTCGTTTGTTGTTTTGTTTTTGTTTTTGAGACAGTTTCCCTCTGTGCCCAGGCTGGAGTACAAGTGATGTCATCTTGGCTCATTGCAACCTCTGCCTCCTGGGTTCAAATGATTTTCCTGCCTCAGCCTCCCTAGTATCAGGGATTATAGGCGCACGCCACCATGCCTGGCTACTTTTTGTTTTTTTTAGTATAGATGCGGTTTCCCCATGTTGGCTGGGCTGCTCTCAAACTCATGACCTCAACTGAGGTGCCCGCCTCGGTCTCCCAAAGTGCCGGGATTACAGGCATGATCCACCTCACCCAACCTCTTTTTAGTTCTTTAAAGGACTTCCACACTTTTCTCCGTAATGGCTGTACTAATTTACACTCCTACCAACAGGATACCAGGATTCTCCTTTCTCTAACACCTTGCCAGCATTTCTTTTGCCTGTCTTGCAGCTAAAAGCCATTTTATTTTATTTCATTTTATTTTGAGATGGAGTTTCGCTCTTGTCACCCAGGCTGAGTGCAGTGGTGCGATCTCGGCTCACCACAACCTCCACCTCCCAGGTTCAAGCGATTCTCCTGCCTCAGCCTCCCGAGTAGCTGGAATTACAGGCACACGCCACCACGCCCGACTAATTTTTGTATTTTTAGTAGAGACAGTGTTTCTCCATGTGGGTCAGACTGGTCTCAAACTCCCGACCTTATGAGATTCACCCACCTCAGGCTCTCAAAGTTCTAGGATGACAGACGTGAGCCACCACGCCCGGCCTAAAAGCCATTTTAATGGGGTGAGATGAAAACTCACTTTGATTTTAATTTGCGTTTCTCTGATGATGAGTGATACTGAGCACTTTTTCGTATGTGGGGAAATTTCATGTCTTTTGCTCCTTTTTCAATTAAATCATTTGTTTTATTGAGTTGTTTGAGCTTCTTATATTTCTAGTTATTAATCCCATCTCAGATGCATAGTTTGCACATATTTGCTCCCAATCTGTGGGTTGTCTCTTCACTTTGTTGGTTTATTTTTAGCGGTGCAGAAGTTGCTTAGTTTGAGGTAATCCCAATGGTCTATTTTTGCTTCGATTACTTGTGTTTTGAAGGTTTAAAACAAAATGTCTTCCTTCAGACAAACGTCCTGGAGCATTTCCCCAATATTTTCTTCTACGTGTTTCATAGGTTCAGGCCTTAGACTCACATCTTTAATCCATTTTCATTTGATTTTTGTGTATAGTGACAGGCAGAGGTGCAGTTTCATTCCTCTGCATGTAGATGTCCAGGTTTCCCTGCACTGTTTATTGAAAAGACTGTCCTTTCCTGATTGTGAGTTCTTGGCACCTTTGTCAAAGTCCATTGGATGGGCTGGGCATGGTGGCTGACACCTGCAATTTCAGCACTTTGGGAGCCCGAGGTGGGTGGATCACCTGAGGCCAAGAGTTCAAGATTAGTCTGGCCAACGTGATGAAACATCGTCTACACTAAAAATATAAAAATTAGCTGAGCATGGTGGTCAGCACCTGTAATACCACTACTCAGGAGTTTGAGGCAAGAGAAGTGATTGAACCCAGGAGGCTGTGGTGGCAGTGAACCGAGATTGCACCTCTGCACTCCAGCCTGGGTGACAGAGCAAGACTCCATCTCAAAAGAAAAACAAAAAATACATTGGAGGTAAATGCATGGATTATATCTGTGTTATTCATTCTGCTCCGTTGTTCTATGTGCCTTTCTTCATGCCAACGTCATGCTGTCTTGCTTACTACAGCTCTGTAACATATTTTGAGATCAGGTAGTGTGATGCTCCTGTTTTCTCTTTATACCTTGAAGTCTCAAGACAGTAGCCGTCACATACAAAAATTACGGAAAAAAGGATCCCAGGACTCCCAGGGCCCAATATTAGATAACAGAGTGTTGGCCATGAACCAACCTCAAAGATTTCCACTGAGTAGAGGACAGACACCCTCATTTCCTCACCTCTCTCCTGTCTCGTGTTCTAGGAAACCCTTCAAATAGTTGGCCTTCACCCACTGAACCAAGCTCCAAAACCGGTGAGTACAGAACCCTCTTATATCCGCTTTTGGAAACCTGGGGAGGTGGAAACCTTGGATTCAGGCGTTGACTCAGCATCTCACAGCTCTGACATTGTACGCCTGTCTTCTACCATCTCCGAACTCCAGATACTCCAACAGCGAAAGGGATCTGGACCCAAAACAGGGCTCAGTGAAATCTCTTAATCTCTCATTTTATGGAGCTGAGATCTCCTACAAGCTAGAAAAATGATTGGCAATCTGACATCCTTCTCAGGAAAAATGCAATGTTTGTTCTGCCTGCATTCCTAACTGGAGGATAAATTCCTGGGGGCTTGAGAGAGGGAAGGGTAGGGAACATTTGATGAGGGCAAGGTGTTTTAGAGAAGTTCCACTTGCCCAGGAATGAATTACTGTTGGTCATGAAGCAACCCTGGCTGACTCAGCAGAGCAAGAGCTTTGCCTTAACAGAGAACGGAGCTCATGCACGCACACTTCGACTCACTGACTCATTCAGCCACGGCCCCATGCTCAGGCCGTGGAAAAGGCAATTCCCAGCACTGCAGGAGGCCAAGGCGGGTGGATCACTTGAAGTCAGGAGTTCCAGACCAGCCTGGCCAAAATGGTGAAACCCTGTCTCTATGAAAAATACAAAAATTAGCCGAGCATGGTGGTGCATCCCTGTAATCCCAGCTCCTACTCTTGAGGATGAAGCAGGAGAACAACTTCAACCCAGGAGGTGGAGGTTGCAGTGAGTGGAGATTGCATCACTGCACTCCAGCCTGGGTGACACAAGGAGACTCCGTCTCAAAAAATAAAAATAAGAAATGCATAAATATAATAAAACACACACGAATGACAAAGGCACCTGAATTCCAATCATCATTTTTGTATTTCTCTATAATTACTTCTTTGATCCTTTGTCTTATCCATTAGGCAATGAGCCTAAAACCTCTTCCGTATTTGGCTTTCTGTGAGCATGAGACCATATAGAAAATGTGAAAGCCCGCTGAATCCTCCAGCACAGATCGTGGAATAGAGAAAGTGCTCTGTTCATCACAAAAAAAACTTGCCCTCTCACTCAAATCCCCCACTTCACCCCTACTTCCAATCACCTGTGGAGATTCAGATAGACCATGGGGAGGTAAACATTAATACTCCTTGGAGTGAGTCCAGATCTTGGAATGAGAGATCAGCACCAGCACTAGCTCCTGCTCCCCTTTCCTACTAATTCACAGGAGGACAGGTGGTATTGAAGCAATAGATGGTGGAGGGGGTGGTCCTTCCCCCAGCCTCTCAGGTAGAACAGCAGCCTAACATGTGTCTCCCGAGATCACAAAGAGTAGGACGTTTCACAGGGGCTTCAACACGATTTCCTGGCTGTTGGACATAAGATAACTCTATTTCGCTTTTTTATCTTGATTTCACTTTTGTTTCCTTTCCTTGGAGAACGCAAGTTGTTTGACTCAAGAATGCTGTGGATGTAGAAATCCTAAAGCACATTCGCTGTGTGTCAATCCCAGTGCAGTCTTCCCAGAAAAGACCCTAAACACCTCCTAGACTGCACCTGGGCCTACGCCAATTCCTATCACTCACCGTCACTCCAGGGAGACAGAACACACAGAGAATACGTTACATAGGCAGGTTCATTACTAACAGATAAGCAGCGAGTGAAAACAGAAGCCTACATTTCAATGTGAGCCAGTCCCTCAAGGCTCAGAAAAGCTGCTCGGGACATATGGAGTCACCCCATTTGCAGTGTAGCTGGGGGAAGCCAGAAAGCAGCCCAGCCTGGGTTTTGTACCCTGGAGCCACAGGAAGCACTCAGCTAAAGCACTGCATGACGTCCTCCTCCAGGAAGAACAGGAAGACAGCCCAGGCTGCTCTGGGACGTTCCTCCTGATCTCAGGACGTTGCTGTCTTAGTCCATTTTTGTTGCTCTAAAGGAACACTTGAGCCTGGGCAACTTCTAAAGAAAAGAGATTGGTTTGCCTCACCGTTCTGCAGGCTGTACTGGAAGCATGGCACCAGCATCTATTTCTCGTGATGGCCTCAGGCTGCTCCCACTCTGGCAGAAGGGAAGGAGGGTCTGTCTGTGCAGAGACCACAGAGATCACACGGCAAGAGAGGGAGCAAGGGGGAGGGGGAGCGATGGAGCTTCCAAGTTCTTTTGAACAACCAGCTCTCTGGGAACTAATAGAGGGGGAACTAGCTAACCCCGTCTCCTTGGGACAGCATTGATCTGTTCATGATGGATCCACCTCCATGACCCAAACACCTCTCAAGAGGCCCAACCTCCCACAATGGGGGTGAAATTTCAATGTGAGGTTTGAAGGGGTCAAACATCTCAACTAAAGTAGTTGTATCCTCAGCACATTCTATGGTTACTTTGAGAGCTATAACTGAGAAAGCAGGAGAAAGCTGGGTCTCCCGCCATCTGGGTGCTTGTCCTAAAGAGGTGTTTTACGTGGTTACCTGTCAATCAAGAAATGCGAGACAATTCATAAAGAGGAACTGCTATGATTAGCTTCTTATTGGTGTCTCATCTTCTTCCAGGTAACCCAAGACACCTGCACGTTCTGATTGGGACCTCAGTGGTCATCATCCTCTTCATCCTCCTCCTCTTCTTTCTCCTTCATCGCTGGTGCTCCAACAAGAAAAGTAAGTCTCACGAAGGAGAGGCCAGAGAGCTCAGGGCCATGTGGGGAAGCAGGATGGGAGCACTCAGGTGTGTGTTCCTCACAGGTAGGATGGTCCCTGGCCCAAGGCAGCAGCCACAGAGGCAGGACTTTCTAGAGAGGGCACCAGACTCCCTGTCCCTGCTTTCAGCTCACAGACCGTTGCCTGATTCTGAACTGTATCCTCATGTCCCCTGCAGCCACTCACATCCAGGAGAAGGTTCCATGACAGGCAGAAAGTGGGAGACAGAATCAATGGGATGGGAACTCAGAGCTATTCATGGGATGGGTCCTTGAGCTCAGAGAGATAGAATGTCTGAGTCTGCTGTTGGCAACTGAGGGACCTCAGGCACCTATGGCCTCCCCCTGTTTGTTGGTATCTGCTTATGAAATGAGGACCCAGAAGTGCCCTCCGAGCTCTTTTGTTGACTTCCGTCTCCTACACATGCTGCTGTAATGGACCAAGAGCCTGCAGGGAACAGAACAGCGAATAGCGAGGTAGGTGCTCCTCGGCCCAGCCTCGTGGCTAGTGTTATTCCCAAACAGTCCTGGAAAACGTGAGCACCCTCCCTCACTCAGCATTTCCCTCTCTCCAGGACTCTGATGAACAAGACCCTCAGGAGGTGACATACGTACAGTTGGATCACTGCGTTTTCACACAGAGAAAAATCACTCGCCCTTCTCAGAGGCCCAAGACACCCCCAACAGATACCAGAGTGTACACGGAACTTCCAAATGCTGAGTCCAGATCCAAAGTTGTCTCCTGCCCATGAGCACCACAGTCAGGCCTTGAGGGGATCTTCTAGGGAGACAACAGCCCTGTCTCAAAACCGGGTTGCCAGCTCCCATGTACCAGCAGCTGGAATCTGAAGGCGTGAGTCTGCATCTTAGGGCATCGCTCTTCCTCACACCACAAATCTGAATGTGCCTCTCTCTTGCTTACAAATGTCTAAGGTCCCCACTGCCTGCTGGAGAGAAAACACACTCCTTTGCTTAGCCCACAATTCTCCATTTCACTTGACCCCTGCCCACCTCTCCAACCTTACTGGCTTACTTCCTAGTCTACTTGAGGCTGCAATCACACTGAGGAACTCACAGTTCCAAACATACAAGAGGCTCCCTCTTAACACGGCACTTAGACACGTCCTGTTCCACCTTCCCTCATGCTGTTCCACCTCCCCTCAGAGTATCTTTCAGCCTTCTGTCAGCAGTAAAACTTATATATTTTTTAAAATAATTTCAATGTAGTTTTCCCTCCTTCAAATAAACATGTCTGCCCTCATGGTTTCGGTAATGGGACTCTTTTCTTGCCTAAGACTTCCAGTGTTATCATTACCATGTCCACATAACCCCATCTGTTCTCCACTGGGTTCTCACCCCCGGACTCTGAGTTTCTGGAAGCAGGGTGGAGCCTCATTTGTCTCTGGGACTCCTATTTCCATCCAAAGATGTAGCACATAGGAGGTTCCAAGGATCGTGAATCACATGAACAAGTGATATTCTTACTCTCTGCAGACCTGGAAATCTGGCAGAGTCATTCCAAGATGAAACATTTGTAGAGTCATAGGCCTTGTTAGTCTCATCTACACAGGGACACATATCAACACATCATCTTTCACACTATAAATATACAGTCACTCCTCCATATCTGTGGGGTTTACAGTTCTTTATTGAACCGAGTATAAATCAAAAATATTCAGAGAAAGTATCCACAGAGTTACAAAAAGCAGAACTGTGTTGAATGGACACAAATGAAGCTGTGTGTAGGCTGCATCAGGAATTATAAGTAATCTAGAGATGATTTCATGTATACAGGAGGATGTGCATAGGTTATTTGCAAACTCTGTGCCATTTCATATAAGAGGCTTGAGCATCTACAGATTTTGGTATCTGAGTGGAGATCTCGAAACCAATCACCCAGGAATAGTGAAGGATGACCGTATATGACTTTTATTTCTCAAATTTAAATATAAATCATAAAAAATGTACAACTAGATAAAAACTAAGAAGTGTTTTTATAGTGTGAGTTAGATTTATTTTTTCCTAGGTATAACCCATTGGTTTAATATTATTTATTGAGAAGACATTCTATGCCACCTTAAACCACACGGCAGCCTTTGTCAACTCTAAAGGGACTGTGTGTACACGGATGTACTTTAGACACTGTTTCTGCTAAGGGGCTCTCTGTGTCCACACTCTTGATGATGCTGCACTTTATGTAGCCTTATAGAACCCTTTAAATTTAGTAGCCAGAGCTCTCTAATTTGTTATTATAGGCTATTTGCTTTTTTTTCTTGAGGCGGAGTCTTGCTCTGTCGCCCAGGCTGGACTGCAGTGACACAATCTCAGCTCACTGCAACTTCTGCCTCCCAGGTTCAAGCGATTCTCGTGCCTCAGCCTCTTGAGTAGCTGGCGTTACAGGTGCCTGCCACCAGGCACGGCTAATTTTTGGATTTTTAACAGAGACACGGTTTCACTATATTGGCCAGGCTGCTCTCAAACTCCTTATCTCAGTTGATCCGCCCACCTCGGCTTCCCAACGTGCTGGGGAAACTTGATTTTCTATAGCATTATGTTACTGGATATTTCTGTAAAATTTAAAATGAGGGAGGGAGAGAGACAGACGGAAAACAAACTCCAGAGTTGGGACTCTGGAATCTTGGGTCATGAGACAAATTTTAGATTAAACTACAAAACTCCAGAATTTACAGGTGGGGTTTTTACTGATAAAGTACAATTCTAAGATTGTAAATAATTGCATAATCCTTCCCTGGGAATTTAAATCATTTTAACTGGTTCTGCTGTAATACTAGAAATACAAGCATGAAAAATTCTAATGGTTTGTTAGTCACAATGACTCTGAAAACATTAATAATACCTATTAGATATTTTGCATATTACACAGGAAGAAGAGTTTGAATCTCAGATAAAAACAATAGAAATACATGAAAAGTCTTTCATGTTAGCACAGATTTTAGGCATCTCGTGTTCGGGAGGTTGGATCTCAGACGTGTTTTGAGTTGGTCATAGTGAAGGACACTAGGTGTCAAATTCTAGCGAGAACAATTTCCAGGAAGCCGTGTTCCGCTCTTGAGCGAGCACCCACTGGGCCTCATGCAAGGTAGAAAGAGCCTGCGTACGTCACCCTCCCATGATGTGGTCAACATGTAAACTGCATGGGCAGGGCGCCAAATAACATCCTGTGCGCTGCTGAGCTGAGCTCGGTCGCGGCTGCCTGTCTGCTCCGGCAGCACCATGTCGCTCTTGTTCGTCAGCATGGCGTGTGTTGGTGAGTCCTGGAAAGCAATAGAGGGAGGGAGTGAGGGGATGGAGATCTGGGCCCAGAGGTGGAGATATAGGCCTGGAGGTGGAGTTATGGGCCTGGAGTGGAGATCTGGGCCTGGAGTGGATATATGGGCCTAGAGATGGAGTGATGGGCCTAGAAGTGGAGATCTGGGCCCAGAGGTCGAGATATAGGCCTGGAGGTGGAGTGATGGGACTGTAGTGGAGATCTGGGCCTGGAGTGGAGATAGGAACCTGGAGGGGAGATAGGAACCTGGAGGGGAGATATGGGCCTGGAGGTGGAGATATGGGCCTGGAGTGGAGTCATGGGCCTGGAGGTGGAGTTACGGGCCTGCAGTAGAGATATGGGCCTGAAGTGGAGACATGGGCCTGGAGTGGAGATATGGGCCAGGAGTGGAGATATGGGCCTAGAGGTCGATATCTGGGCCTGGAGTGGAGATATGGGCCAGGAGTGGAGATATGGGCCTAGAGGTCGATATCTGGGCCTGGAGAGGAGATATGTGCCTAGGATGGAGATACGGGCCTGGGTGTGGAGATATGGGACTGGAGAGGATATATGGGCCTGGAGTGGAGATATGGGACTGGAGAGGAGATATGGACCTGGAGTGGAGATAAGGGCCTGGATTGGAGATATGGGCCCAGGGTGGAGATCTGAGCCTGGATTGGAGATATGGGCCTGGATTGGCGATATGGGCTTAGGGTGGAAATATCGGCCTGGAGTGGAGATATGGGCCTGGAGTGGAGATATGGGCTTGAGGTGGGGATATGGACCTGGAGGCTGGGTCTCTGCACAGCCGACAGCCCTGTTCTTGGGTGCAGGTAGGCACTGAGGGTGAGTTTACCTTCAGCCCAGGAAGGGCCTGGCTACCAAGACTCACAGCCCAGTGGGGGCAGCAAGGGTGCCCTGGTTTGCCTGCAGATGGGTCATCCATCATGATCTTTCTTTCCAGGGTTCTTCTTGCTGCAGGGGGCCTGGCCACATGAGGGTGAGTCCTTCTCCAAACCTTCGGGTGTCATCTCCCCACATAAGAGGATTTTCCTGAAATGGGAGGGAAGTCCTGTCAGGGAGTCTCTCATAAACTAGGAAGAAGGGACCCTGGGGTGCTGGGCCCACATTTCTGACCTTGCCTCCCTGGCCTTTCATTCCCTTGGCAGAGTCAAGTTCTGTGGGGACCAGGGTTAGACTACGGTGCTCAAAGCTGGGGTGTGTGGTGGGGAAGTGGTAGGAACAGCAGATCCTCTGAGGACAAAGGTGTTACTCACACACTTCAGCGTTTCCATGACGGTAGGGGCTGCAGTGTGGCTGCTGTCATTCTACCAGAAGAGGTGGGAAAACCACAGCCATGGCCCTGACATTCCAATCCTCTGATGGGGACTCAGTTGTTTATTTTCGTTCAGGCATCGGCTGATATTCCATTCTCAAAGGACATGCCCTCCACCCCATGTCTACCCTGTGTTGTTTTATGTGAGTAATCTTACAGTATTAAAATCTAGTAGGAGTCTCTTACTCAGCACTTGCTCAAAGTTCTCAGCTGACACTTTTGTTGTAGGGAGACACCTTGTGTTTGCGGGATGGGTCCTTCCTTTAGCCCTGGGCACCAAGGTGTGATAGCAGCCATAGAAACTTGGAAAGCGAGGAGAATCTTCAGAGCACAGGGAGGGAGGGGCGGCTCCACATCCTCCTCTCTAAGGCGGTGCCTCCTTCTCCCCACGGTGGTCAGGACAAGCCCTTGCTGTCTGCCTGGCCAAGCCCTGTGGTGCCTCCAGGACATGTGATTCTTCAGTGTCATTCTTATCTTGGGTTTAACAACTTCAGTCTGTAAAAGGAAGATGGGGTGCCTGTCCCTGAGCTCTACAACATAATATTCTGGAACAGCCTTTTCATGGGCCCTGTGACCCCAGCACACGCAGGGACCTATACATGTCGGGGTTCACAACCACACTACCCCAGTGGGTGGTCGGCACCCAGCAACCCCCTGGAGATCACGGTCACAGGTCAGAGGGCTCCTGTCTGGGATTCTCCTTGTCCCACCTCCTGAATCCCAGAGCTCCTGGTGGGCGTGTCCTTGCGGGTCCCATCATGCAAGTCCTGACTGTATTTGGGGTAAAGGGGGATTGAATACAGGGAAATGGGTGCTGTGGTGGGAAGAATAATTGTCCCCAGTGATGACTACATTCTAATCCCTGGAGTCTGTGACTATTTATGATATAGGGGAAGGGACTGAAGGAGAAGATGGAGCTCAGGTTGTTGATGAGTTGACCTTGAGATGGGGAGACAGCCTGGACTGTCCTGATGGGCTCAGTGTAGTCACAGGGGTCCACATGAAAGGAGGAGGAAGAGGGGAGTGGGGATTACAGCAGCGCAATGGGAGACTCCACCAGCTTTGAAGGTGGAGGAAGTCCAGGAGCCATGAATGCAGGTGGCCTATAGAGGCTGGAAAAGTCAAGGAACTGATTCTCCTGAGTCTCCAGAGGGAACGAAGCCCTGCAGGTGCCTTGATTTTACCCACGACAAACAGGGTCCGATTTCTGTCTCCAGAATTGGAAGGGGTTAGTGTGCTCTCTCCTGGTGCCATGCTTCTGATAATTTTCTACAGCAGCAACAGGAAACCAACACTGGAACCCAGGTCAAGGACAAGTTAAGAAACAACACAAGGATAGCCAGGCATGGTGGCAGGTGCATGTAATCCTAGCGACTTGGGAGGCTGAGGGCAGGAGAATCACTTGAACCCAGGAGACAGAGGTTGCAGTGAGCCTAGACCACACCACTTCACTCCAGCCTGGGCAAAGGAGTGAGACTCTGTCGCCAAAATTAATTAATTAATTAAAGAAACCAAACAAGGAGAAGGTTGGCTACACTGAGATCAGCAAGGCTCAGATGATGATGCCACCACCAGGCTCCATCCACATAGGGAGCGGTTGATACTCCTCCAACCAGCACCAGGAGCCAGCCTATGGAAGCTGGCACTGGCATGGCAAGAGTGGCTCCCAGTCCCTACCAGGAACAGGGTGTGTGGCCACTGGTGCCTGCCTTACTGATCAGTTCATACCTCCTGCCAAGGATTCCAATTCGTCCAAAAGAGATTGAACCAGGCTGCTAAGAGCCTGGATGTGCAGCCTATCCTGGTTCCTCTTCCACCCCCACATAGACAGCAGGAAAGACATTAGTTCGAAATAGATACAACAGCCCAAGAGATGAGGCTGAGCCCAGCGGCAAGGGAATCAGAGGCTACTAGAGACAGAGGGACAGAGAAGAGTGAGGGAGACAGATGGAAGGACCTGCACCAGGAGTTATGGGCACAGAAAAGAACATGAAGACACAGAGAGGAAGGAGAGAGATAAGACACCAGGAAGGGGAAGCCTGACTCAATCCAGGTGCCATGGATGGGATGATAAAGAGAGACACCTTCTAAACTCACAACCTCTCTTCCTAGGAGTCCACAGAAAACCTTCCCTCCTGGCCCACCCAGGTCCCCTGGTGAAATCAGAAGAGACAGTCATCCTGCAATGTTGGTCAGATGTCATGTTTGAACACTTCCTTCTGCACAGAGAGGGGATGTTTAACGACACTTTGCGCCTCATTGGAGAACACCATGATGGGGTCTCCAAGGCCAACTTCTCCATCAGTCGCATGACGCAAGACCTGGCAGGGACCTACAGATGCTACGGTTCTGTTACTCACTCCCCCTATCAGGTGTCAGCTCCCAGTGACCCTCTGGACATCGTGATCATAGGTGAGAGTGTCCAGACTTTCTTCTCATTGTCATTGGGATGCAGAGTGAATGATCCAGGAATTGGAGACCCAGGTGGCTGTAAGGAAGATGAGCTTGGTATTCTTATGGAGAGAGACTGACTTGGTGAGGTCTGTGCCAACAGAGACAGAGAAACAGGAGACACAAGTACAGACCAGGTGTCATAACAGAGAACAGACACAGGGGCCATACCGGGAGTTAGAAAAGACAGAAAGAGTTAAAGGAGACACACAGACAGACATGTCCCAGAGAGAGGTGTCCCTCCATGCTGACTTTGCTCAGAGACCTGGCACAGGTTAGAAGTTTCATTTCTGTTTTACCTCCACAAAGTGTTCTCTACCAGGAGAACCCAAGGACACCCATATTTCTGACCTGAGTTGGGCCCTGTGGCCTCAGGCCTTGTGGCACCTACAGATGCCATGTTTATTCTGACACCTCTGCCTTCCATGTAATGGAGAGTAATCGTCCCAGGATATCATGGCCCCACAACACCAACCCCTGTATGCTGTGTGAACTTGTAGTCTCCAGACTGGATTCTGAGGCTCATATTCCAAATAAGCCCACTTATGAGAGGATCAGTGAGAGGCACAGAGAGAAATCAGGGACACCAAAAAGCAAAGACATAAACACACAGAGAATGAGCCAGAGGAAGGAGATTGAGAGACTCACAGACACATAAAGAGAGAGAAAAGAGGGCAGAGAAGTGAGAATGATGGAAGGGAGCAGAGAAAAGCACTAAAATTAGACTCCTGAGGGAGAGGCACAAGGACATTGAAAGATGGAGATGTGGGGATGAATTGCAGAGATTCCAAAGAGAACTAGAGAGACCGAGAGGCAGAGCAAGACAGATGATAGATGGATAGATATAGATAGATGATAAATAGGTAGATGATAGATAATAGGTTATAGATACATAGATGATGATTGATTGATTCATTAATAGATGAGACATAGAGATGATGATGATGAAGACAGATAGATAGATAATACATAGAGATACAGAGGCAGACATAGAGAAATCATAGAGAGAGAGAGATGATACATAGATATAGATAATAGATGATTGATGGATAGATAGACAATTGATGGATAAATAGATGATATATAGATATAGATGACAGGTAGAGAATTTGTAGATAGGCACCGAATAGATAAATAGATAGATCGATAGATAATAGATAGAAATATGCAGAAAGTTATGAACAGGACACAAAGTGAGAAACTCAGAATTAAAAAAAGTAACATCAAGTCAACCAATCCAAGGAGAGTCAGAGAGAATAAAACAATCCAAAAAGAGAAAACATATCTAGAGGTGGGGAAGTGAGGTCAGAGACCTAGAGAGACAGAGAAGGTGGAAGGAGGAAATAGACATGAAGAGCGATGGGGTAGAGGGTGAGAGAGAGAGAGAGAGAGCATTAGGTCATAGAACAGGGGAGTGAGTTCTCAGCTCAGGTGAAGGGAGCTGTGACAAAGAAGATCCTCCCTGAGGAAACTGCCTCTTCTCCTTCCAGGTCTATATGAGAAACCTTCTCTCTCAGCCCAGCCGGGCCCCACGGTTCTGGCAGGAGAGAATGTGACCTTGTCCTGCAGCTCCCGGAGCTCCTATGACATGTACCATCTATCCAGGGAAGGGGAGGCCCATGAACGTAGGCTCCCTGCAGGGCCCAAGGTCAACGGAACATTCCAGGCTGACTTTCCTCTGGGCCCTGCCACCCACGGAGGGACCTACAGATGCTTCGGCTCTTTCCATGACTCTCCATACGAGTGGTCAAAGTCAAGTGACCCACTGCTTGTTTCTGTCACAGGTGAGGAAAGCCCATGGCTGTCCCATGTCCTATGATCCTAGAGCCTTAGCTGAGGAGCTTCCTGCTGAGGATGGAGAGAAGCATGGACAGATGCAGAGAGAAGACGCAGCCTCGGTGTGAGGGAGGGATCAGGGCACAGGATGGCCGACAGGGCACCTCCAAACCCTCCTACATGGCCTGCATGGAGGCCCACGGCCAGGGCTCCAGGCACCCAGGCAGATGGAGAAAGCGGTCAGGAGAGACCCAGAGGAGGGAGACTGGGCTCAGTTTGGGGAGATCAGAGGTTCCCTCAGCCCCTCAACCTTACCCATTTCCCAGAAGCCCATCCTGGCCTCTCACCCACACAGAGATGTCATCACCAGCAACCCCTACACCCTTTACTTTTCTTTGAAGAAATATTTATTGAGGATAAATATACCTATATAGCTTACCACTTTTAACATTTTTTTTTGAGGTGGAGTCTAGCTCTGTCCCCTATGATGGAGTGCAGTGGCACAATCTCAGCTCACTGCAACCTCCGCCTCCTGGGTTCAAGCGATTCTCCTGCCTCAGCCACCTGAGTAGCTAGTGCTACAGGCACGCACCACCACGCCAGGCTACTTTTTGTATTTTTAGTAGAGAGGTGGTTTCACCATGTTGGTCGAGCTGGTCTCGAACTCCTGACCACGTGATCCACCCGCATCAGCCTCCCAAAGTGCTGGGATTACAGGCATGGGCCACCAGGCCCAGCCACATTTACCATTTTTAAGTGTAAAGTCTAGTGGTCATAAATACATTTTTATATATATATATATATACATTTTTTTTACCCTCCACCCTTTTCTTCCTGTCCTCCAGTAGCCACCATTCTACTCTCTACCTTCATGAGATCCACCTTTTAGCTCCTGTATATGGGTGAGAAATGGGAATCTTTTTAATGACCTCCAGTTCCATCCATGTGGCTGCAAATGACAGGATGTTATTCTTTCTATGGATGAGTAGTCTCCACTGTGCGTATGTACTACATTCTCTCTATCCATTCACCCACTGATGGGCAGGTAGGTTGACTCCTCATCTTGGCTACTGTGAACAGTGCTGCACCAATCATACGAGTGCAGATATCACTTCGATATGTTGATTTACTTTCCTTTGGATATAAACCCAGTAGTGAAATTGCTGGATACTATGAAAGTTCTCTTTTTTTTTTTTTTTTTCTTTTTTGAGAAAGAGTTTCCCTCCTTAGCCCAAGCTGGAGTCAAAGTGGTGCAACCTTGGCTCATTGCAACCTCCGCCTCCTGGGTTCAAATGATTTTCCTGCCTCAGCCTCCCTAGTAGCTGGGATTACAGGTGCACACCACCATGCCTGGCTACTTTTTGGTTTTTTTAGTATAGATGCGGTTTCCCCATGTTGGCTGGGCTGCTCTCAAACTCATGACCTCAACTGAGGTGCCCGCCTCAGTCTCCCAAAGTGCCGGGATTACAGGCATGATCCACCTCACCCAACCTCTTTTTAGTTCTTTAAAGGACTTCCATACTTTTCTCCGTAATGGCTGTACTAATTTACACTCCTCCCAACAGGGTACCAGGGTTCTCCTTTCTCTACCACCTTGCCAGCATTTCTTTTGCCTGTCTTGCAGCTAAAAGCCATTTTATTTTATTTCATTTTATTTTGAGATGGAGTTTTGCTCTTCTCACCCAGGCTGGAGTGCAGTGGCGCTATCTCGGCTCACCACAACCTCCACCTCCCAGGTTCAAGCGATTCTCCTGCCTCAGCCTCCCGAGTAGCTGGAATTACAGGCACACGCCACCACGCCCTACTAATTTTTGTATTTTTAGTAGAGACAGCGTTTCTCTATGTGGGTCAGACTGGTCTCAAACTCCCAACCTTATGAGATTCACCCACCTCAGGTTCTCAAAGTTCTAGGATGACACAAGTGAGCCACCTCACCCGGCCTAAAAGCCATTTTAATGGGGTGAGATGAAAACTCACTTTGATTTTAATTTGCGTTTCTCTGATGATGAGTGATACTGAGCACTTTTTCGTATGTGGGGAAATTTCATGTCTTTTGCTCCTTTTTCAATTAAATCATTTGTTTTATTGAGTTGTTTGAGCTTCTTATATTTCTAGTTATTAATCCCATCTCAGATGCATAGTTTGCACATATTTGCTCCCAATCTGTGGGTTGTCTCTTCACTTTGTTGGTTTATTTTTAGCAGTGCTGAAGTTGCTTAGTTTGAGGTAATCCCAATGGTCTATTTTTGCTTCGATTACTTGTGTTTTGAAGGTTTAAAACAAAATGTCTTCCTTCAGACAAACGTCCTGGAGCATTTCCCCAATATTTTGTTCTACGTGTTTCATAGGTTCAGGCCTTAGACTCACATCTTTAATCCATTTTCATTTGATTTTTGTGTATGGTGACAGGTAGAGTTGCAGTTTCATTCCTCTGCATGTAGATGTCCAGGTTTCCCTGCACTGTTTATTGAAAAGACTGTCCTTTCCTGATTGTGAGTTCTTGGCATCTTTGTCAAAGTCCATTGGATGGGCTGGGCTTGGTGGCTAACACCTGCAATTTCAGCACTTTGGGAGCCCGAGGTGGGTGGATCACCTGAGGCCAGGAGTTCAAGATTAGTCTGGCCAACGTGATGAAACATCGTCTCCACTAAAAATATAAAAATTAGCTGAGCATGGTGGTCAGCACCTGTAATACCACTACTCAGGAATTTGAGGCAAGAGAATGATTGAACCCAGGAGGCTGAGGTTGCAGTGAACCGAGATTGCACCTCTGCACTCCAGCCTGAGTGACAGAGCAAGACTCCATCTCAAAAGAAAAAATAAAAAACCATTGGATGTAAATGCATGGAATATATCTGTGTTATTCATTCTGCTCCGTTGTTCTATGTGCCTTTCTTTATGCCAATGTCATGCTATTTTGCTTACTACAGCTCTGTAACATATTTTGAGATCAGGTAGTGTGATGCTCCTGTTTTCTCTTTATATCTTGAAGTCTCAAGACAGTGGGTGTCATATAAAAAAATTATGGAAAAAAGGATCCCAGGACTCCCAGGGCCCAATATTAGATAAGAGAGTGTTGGCCATGAACCATCCTCAAAGATTTCCACTGAGTGGAGGACAGACACCCTCATTTCCTCACCTCTCTCCTGTCTCATGTTCTAGGAAACCCTTCAAATAGTTGGCCTTCACCCACTGAACCAAGCTCCAAAACCGGTGAGTACAGAACCCTCTTATATCCGCTTTTGGAACCCTGGGGAGGTGGGAACCTTGGATTCAGGCGTTGACTCAGCATCTCACAGCTCTGACATTGTACACTTGTCTTCCACCATCTCCGAACTCCAGATACTCCTACAGCGAAAGGGATCTGGGCCCAACACAGGGCTCAGTGAAATCTCTTCATCTCTCATTTTATGGAGCTGAGACCTCCTACAAGCTAGAAGAATGATTGCCAATCTGACATCCTTCTCAGGAAAAATGCAATGTTTGTTCTACCTGCATTCCTAACTGGAGGATAAATTCCTGGAGACTTGAGAGAGGGAAGGGAAGGGAACATCTGATGAGGGCAAGGTGTTTTAGAGAAGTTCCACTTGCCAAGGAATGAGCTCCTGTAGGTCATGAAGCAACCCTGGCTGACTCCGCAGAGAAAGAGCCTTGCCGTAACAGAGAACAGAGCTCATGCACGCACACTTCGACTCACTGACTCATTCAGCCACGGCCCCATGCTCAGGCTGTGCAGTGTGGAACCTTTTCCTATTGTTGCCATAACAAATTTCCACAAGATTCGTGGGTGAAAACAAAACGGTTTTTTAATTATCTTACAGTGCTGTAGCTCAAAGTAGGAAGTGCATCTTACTGGGCTAAAATCAAGGTGACAGCAAGGCTGCCTTCCCTCTGAGGATTCCAGGCACGAATCTGCTTCTCACTTGTCCCAGCTTCTAAAGGCTCCCAGTTCCTTGGCTCCTGGTCCCCTTCCTCCTTCCTCAAAGCCCACAAAGACTGGTCACATCTCACATGGCATCACTCAGTGCCTTCTTCCTTACCACACCTCTTTCTCTGAGTGCTGCTCTCCCTTCTTCCTCATCTTTTGAAAACTTGGGGATTCTATTGGGTTCACCAAGATGAAAATCCCTCATAATCTCCTGGAAATCATCCAGGATACCCTTGTTTTAAGTTCAGCTGATTAGCAACCATAATTCCATCTGCAATCTTCATTCCTCCTTTCCATGTAAAATAACATATTCACAAGCTGTGGAGGCTAGGACAGGGACATTTTGGGGTGGGACAGCATTCTCCTGCCTTCCACAAACAGTGAACAAGATGCATTTGGCCTCTGCCCTTGGGACACTGATATTGCAGATGGTTAAATGGGAGGGCAGAAAATGAACGCACAAGTGGATCTATAAATGAATGGTCCATTGGGAAGCATCTGTGCATGAAATCTATTTTTTGTTTGTTCTTTTGTTTATTGAGACAGAGTCGCCCTCTGTCTTCCAGGCTACAGTGCAGTGTCACGATCTTGGCTCACTGCAACCTGCGTCTCCTGGATTCAAGGGATTCTCCTGCCTCCGCCTCTCGAGTAGCTGGGATTACAGGCAACTGCCACCGTGCCCGGCTAATTCTTTTTGTATATTTTTTGTAGAGAGGATGTTTCACCACGTTGGCCAAGCTTGTCTGAAACTCCCAACCTCAAGTGATCCGACCGTCTCAGCATGCCAAAGTAATGGGACTACAGGCGTGAGCCACTGTGCCCAGCCAGAATTCAAAATCAATAATAGATAATGCTGAGTGTATGATTTCAGGTGACAAAGAAGGTCTCACTATTCAGATATTTGTGACATTAATGAAAAACACGGAATGAACCCCTGAAAGATTGGCGGAAGGATTTTGCACACACAGCTGTCAGCCATGAAGGCACAAAGGTGAAAACAATCTGATGTGGAAGGAAGAGGCTCTGACTCAAATGCTGGGAATGAGGTGGGGAGAATGACAAGACGACTGTAGAGAGACGGAGAGCACACTGGGTACACAGGAAACTAAGGAGGAACAAGGAGTGTGTGCTTGACACTCACAGCCATTGGATTCACCTCGGGGTAACCAGGAATCCCTACATGATTAATATGACTGACATGAAAATAAGGGAGGCCCAGGTGCATAACTGGAATCTAGGAGACCGTGGAAAAGGCAATTGCCGCCCCACTGGTGAAATGTGGTGCTGATTTAGACACTAAATGAATGAAGTAGATGGATATAAGATATGTTTGTGAGGTAGAATCATTGACTGGAAAGGCTTACTGGGTTTGATTTTCCTACTTGTTTAATCCTCACTTAATTAATTTCTTTCTGAGATTTATTCATCCTACACATAAATCAATACCTGGCAAAGGAGTGACAGATATATGAGTGGTGGTGGAAATGAAGAGACTTATTATAGCATAATATACAAGTCTGTGAACAGTGGCTCACACCTGTAACCTAGCACTGCAGGAGGCCAAGGTGGGTGGATTCCATGAAGTCAGGAGTTCCAGACCAGCCTGGCCAACGTGGTGAAACCCTATCTCTACTAAAAATACAAAAATTAGCCGAGCACGATGGTGCATCCCTGTAATCCCAGCTCCTATTCTGGAGGATGAAGCAGGAGAATGACTTCAACCCAGTAGGTGGAGGTTGCAGTGAGTGGAGATTGCATCACTGCACTCCAGCCTGGGGGACACAAGGAGACTCTATCTCAAAAAATAAAAATAAGAAATACATAAATATAATAAAACACACACGAATGACAAAGGCACCTGAATTCCAATCATGATTTTTCTATTTCTCTATAATTACTTCTTTGATCCTTTATCTTATCCATTAGGCAATGAGCCTAAAACCTCTTCCCTATTTGGCTTTCTGTGAGCATGAGATCATATAGAAAATGTGAAAGCCCGCTGAATCCTCCAGCACAGATCCTGGAATAGAGAAAGTGCTCTGGTCATCACAAAAAAAACTTGCCCACTCACCCAAATCCCCCACCTCACCCCTACTTCCAATCACCTGTGGAGATTCAGATAGACCATGGGGAGGTAAACATTAACACTCCTTGGAGTGAGTCCAGATCTTGGAATCAGAGATCAGCGACAGCACTAGCTCCTGCTCCCCTTTCCTACTAATTCACAGGAGGACAGGTGGTTTTGAAGCAATAGATGGCCGAGGGGGTGGTCCTTCCCCCAGCCTCTCGGGTAGAACAGCAGCCTAATATGTGTCTCCCGAGATCACAAAGAGCAGCAGGTTTCACACGGGCTTCAACACTATTTCCTGGCCGTTTGACATAAGAGAATTCTATTTCGCTTTTTTTATCTTGATTTCACTTTTGTTTTCTTTCCTTGGAGAATGCAAGTTGTTTGATTCAAGAATGCTGTGGATGTAGAAACCCTAAAGCACATTCGCTGTGAATCAATCCCAGTCCAGTCTTCCCAGAGAAGACTCTAAACACCTCCTGGACTGCACCTGGGCCTATGCCAATTCCTATCACTCACCGTCACTCCAGGGAGACAGAACACACAGAGAATACGTTACATAGGCAGGTTCATTACTAACAGATAAGCAGCGAGTGACAACAGAAACCTATATTTCAATGTGACCCAGTCCCTCAAGGCTCAGAAAAGCTGCTCGGGACATATGGAGTCACCCCATTTGCAGTGTAGCTGGGGGAAGCCAGAAAGCAGCCCAGCCTGGGTTTTGTACCCTGGAGCCACAGGAAGCACTCAGCTAAAGCACTGCATGACGTCCTCCAGGAAGAACAGGAAGACAGCCCAGGGTGTTCTGAGACGTTCCTCCTGATCTCAGGAAGTTGCTGTCTTAGGCCATTTTTGTTGCTCTAAAGGAACACTTGAGCCTCGGTAACTTCTAAAGAAAAGAGATTGGTTTGCCTCACCGTTCTGCAGGCTGTACTGGAAGCATGGCACCAGCATCTATTTCTCGTGACGGCCTCAGGCTGCTCCCACTCTGGCAGAAGGGAAGGAGGGTCTGTCTGTGCAGAGACCACAGAGATCACACGGCAAGAGAGGGAGCAAGGGGGAGGGGGAGTGATGGAGCTTCCAAGCTCTTTTTAACAACCAGCTCTCCGGGAACTAATAGAGGGGGAACTTGCTAACCCCGTCTCCTTGGGACAGCATTGATGTGTTCATGATGGATCCACCTCCATGACCCAAACACCTCTCAAGAGGCCCAACCTCCCACAGTGGGGGTGAAATTTCAATGTGAGGTTTGAAGGGGTCAAACATCTCAACTAAAGTAGTCGTATCCTCAGCACGTTCTATGGTTACTATGAGAGCTATAACTGAAAAAGCAGGAGAAAGCTGGGTCTCCTGCCATCTGGGTGCTTGTCCTAAAGAGGTGTTTTATGTGGTTACCTGTCAATCAAGAAATGCGAGACAATTCATAAAGAGGAACTGCTAAGATTAGCTTCTTATTGGTGTCTCATCTTCTTCCAGGTAACCCCCGACACCTGCACATTCTGATTGGGACCTCAGTGGTCATCATCCTCTTCATCCTCCTCTTCTTTCTCCTTCATCGCTGGTGCTCCAACAAAAAAAGTAAGTCTCACGAAGCAGAGGCCAGAGAGCTCAGGGCCATGTGGGGAAGCAGGATGGGAGCACTCAGGTGTGTGTTCCTCACAAACAGGATGGTCCCTGGCCCAAGGCAGCAGCCACAGAGGCAGGACTTTCTAGAGAGGGCACCAGACTCCCTGTCCCTGCCTTCAACTCACAGACCGTTGCCTGATTCTGAACTGTATCCTCATGTCCCCTGCAGCCACTCACATCCAGGAGAAGGTTCCATGACAGGCAGAAAGTGGGAGACAGAATCAATGGGATGGGAACTCAGAGCTATTCATGGGATGGGTCCTTGAGCTCAGAGAGATAGAATGTCTGAGTCTGCTGTTGGCAACTGAGGGACCTCAGCCACCTATGGTCTCCCCCTGTATGTTGGTATCTGCTTATGAAATGAGGACCCAGAAGTGCCCTCCGAGCTGTTTTGTTGACTTCCGTCTTCTACAGATGCTGCGGTAATGGACCAAGAGTCTGCAGGAAACAGAACAGCGAATAGCGAGGTAGGTACTCCTCGGCCCGGGCTCGTGGCTACTGTTATTCCCAAAGAGTCCTGGAAAATGTGAGCACCCTCCCTCACTCAGCATTTCCCTCTCTCCAGGACTCTGATGAACAAGACCCTCAGGAGGTGACATACACACAGTTGAATCACTGCGTTTTCACACAGAGAAAAATCACTCGCCCTTCTCAGAGGCCCAAGACACCCCCAACAGATATCATCGTGTACACGGAACTTCCAAATGCTGAGTCCAGATCCAAAGTTGTCTCCTGCCCATGAGCACCACAGTCAGGCCTTGAGGGCGTCTTCTAGGGAGACAACAGCCCTGTCTCAAAACCGGGTTGCCAGCTCCCATGTACCAGCAGCTGGAATCTGAAGGCATGAGTCTGCATCTTAGGGCATCGATCTTCCTCACACCACAAATCTGAATGTGCCTCTCACTTGCTTACAAATGTCTAAGGTCCCCACTGCCTGCTGGAGAAAAAACACACTCCTTTGCTTAGCCCACAGTTCTCCATTTCACTTGACCCCTGCCCACCTCTCCAACCTAACTGGCTTACTTCCTAGTCTACTTGAGGCTGCAATCACACTGAGGAACTCACAATTCCAAACATACAAGAGGCTCCCTCTTAACGCAGCACTTAGACACGTGTTGTTCCACCTTCCCTCATGCTGTTCCACCTCCCCTCAGACTAGCTTTCAGTCTTCTGTCAGCAGTAAAACTTATATATTTTTTAAAATAACTTCAATGTAGTTTTCCATCCTTCAAATAAACATGTCTGCCCCCATGGTTTCGGTAATGGGACTCTTTTCTTGCCTAAGGCTTCCGGTGTTATCAGTACCATGTCCATATAATCCCATCTGTTCCCCACTGAGTTCTCATCCCCGGACTCTGAGTTTCTGGAAGCAGGGTGGAGCCTCATTTGTCTCTGGGACTCCAATTTCCATCCAAAGATGTAGCACATAGGAGGTTCCAAGGATCACGAATCATATGAACAAGTGATACTCTTACTCTCTGCAGACCTGGAAAGCTGGCAGAGTCATTCCACAATGAAACATTTGTAGAATCATAGGCCTTGTTAGTCTCATCTCCATGGGGACACATATCAACACATCATCTTTCATAATATAAATATACGGTCACTCCTCCATATCTGCGGGGTTTACAGGTGTTTATTGAACCAAGTATAAATCAAAAATATTGAGAGAAAGTATCCACAGAGTTTCAAAAAGCATAACTATGTTGAATGGACACAAATGAAGCTGTGTGTAGGCTGTATCAGGAATTATAAGTAATCTAGAGATGATTTCATGTATACAGGAGGATGTGCATAGGTTATTTGCAAACGCTGTGCCATTTCATATAAGAGGCTTGAGCATCTACAGATTTTGGTATCTGAGTGGAGATCTCAAAACCAATCACCCACGAATAGTGAAGGATGACCGTATATGACTTTTATTTCTCAAATTTAAATATAAATCATAAAAAATGTACAACTAGATAAAAACTAAGAAGTGTTTTTATAGTGTGAGTTAGATTTATTTTTTCCTAGGTGTAACCAATTGGTTTAATATTATTTATTGAGAAGACATTCTATGCCACCTTAAACCACACGGCAGCCTTTGTCAACTCTAAAGGGACTGTGTGTACATGGATGTATTTTAGACACTGTTTCTGCTAAGGGGCTCTCTGTGTCCACACTCTTGATGATGCTGCACTTTATGTAGCCTTATAGAACCCTTTAAATTTAGTAGCCAGAGCCCTCTAATTTGTTATTATAGGCTGTTTGCTTTTTTTTTCTTGAGGCGGAGTCTTGCTCTGTCGCCCAGGCTGGACTGCAGTGGCACAATCTCAGCTCACTGCAACCTCCGCCTCCCAGGTTCAAGCGATTCTCGTGCCTCAGCCTCTTGAGTAGCTGGCGTTACAGGTGCCTGCCACCAGGCACGGCTAATTTTTGGATTTTTAACAGAGACACGGTTTCACTATATTGGCCAGGCTGCTCTCAAACTCCTTATCTCAGTTGATCCGCCCACCTCGGCTTCCCAACGTGCTGGGGAAAACTTGATTTTCTATAGCATTATGTTACTGGATATTTCTGTAAAATTTAAAACGAGGGAGGGAGAGAGACAGACAGAGAGCAAACTCCAGAGTTGGGACTCTGGAATCTTGGGTCATGAGACAAATTTTAGATTAAACTACAAAACTCCAGAATTTACAGGTGTGGTTTTTGCTGATAAAGTACAATTCTAAGATTGTAAATAATTGCATAATCCTTCCCTGGGAATTTAAATCATTTTAGCTGGTTCTGCTGTAATACTAGAAATACAAGCATGAAAAATTCTAATGGTTTATTAGTCACAATGACTCCGAAAACATTAATAATACCTATTAGATACTTTGCATATTACACAGGAAGAAGAGTTTGAATCTCAGATAAAAACAAAAAAAATACATGAAAAGTCTTTCATGTTAGCACAGATTTTAGGCATCTCGTGTTCGGATAAAAATACATGAAAAGTCTTTCACGTTAGCACAGATTTTAGGCATCTTGTGTTCGGGAGGTTGGATCTGAGACGTGTTGTGAGTTGGTCATAGTGAAGGACGTGAGGTGCCAATTCTAGTGAGAACAATTTCCAGGAAGCCGTGTTCCGCTCTTGAGCAAGCATCCACTGGGCCTCATGCAAGGTAGAAAGAGCCTGCGTACGTCACCCTCCCATGATGTAGTCAACATGTAAGCTGCATGGGCAGGGCGCCAAATAACATCCTGTGCGCTGCTGAGCTGAGCTGGGGCGCGGCCGCCTGTCTGCACCGGCAGCACCATGTCGCTCATGGTCGTCAGCATGGCGTGTGTTGGTGAGTCCTGGAAAGGAATAGAGGGAGGGAGTGCCACATCCTCCTCTCTAAGGTGGCGCCTCCTTCTCCCCCAGGTGGTCAGGACAAGCCCTTCCTCTCTGCCTGGCCCAGCCCTGTGGTGTCTGAAGGAGAACATGTGGCTCTTCAGTGTCGCTCTCGTCTTGGGTTTAACGAATTCAGTCTGTCCAAAGAAGACGGGATGCCTGTCCCTGAGCTCTACAACAGAGTATTCCGAAACACCGTTTTCATAGGCCCTGTGACCCCAGCACATGCAGGGACCTACAGATGTCGGGGTTCACACCCACACTTCCTCACTGGGTGGTCAGCACCCAGCAACCCCCTGGTGATCATGGTCACAGGTCAGAGGGCTCCTGTCTGGGATTCTCCTTGTCCCACCTCCTGAGTCCCAGAGCTTCTGGTGGGAGTGTCCACCAGCGTCCCATCATCCAGACCCTAACTGTATTTGGGGTAAAAGGGGATTGAATACAGGGAAATGGGTGCTGTGGTGGAAAGAATAATTGTCCCCAATGATGACTGCATTCTAATCCCTGCAGTCTGTGACTATTTATGTTATAGGGGAAGGCACTGAAGGGGAAGATGGAGCTCAGGTTGTTGAGTTGACCTTGAGATGGGGAGACAGCCTGGACTGTCCTGCTGGGCTCAGTGTAATCACAAGGGTGCACATGAGAGGAGAAGGAAGAGGGGAGTGGCGATTAGAGCAGTGCAATGGAAGTCTCCATCAGCTTTGAAGGTGGAGGAAGGCCATGAGCCATGAATGCAGGTGGCCTATAGAGGCTGGAAAAGTCAAGGAACTGATTCTCCTGGGTCTCCAGAGGGAACGCAGCCCTGCAGATGCCTTGATTTTAGCCCTCAAAAAACAGGGTCCGATTTCTGTCTCCAGAAACGGAAGGGGTCAGTGTGCTCTCTCCTGCTGCCATGCTTCTGATAATTTTCCACAGCACCAACAGGAAACCAACACTGGAACCCAGGTCAAGGACAAGATAAGAAAGGACACAAGGATAGCCGGGCGTGGTGGCAGGTGCATGTAATCCTAGCAACTCAGGAGGCTGAGGGCAGGAGAATCACTTGAACCCAGGAGACAGAGGTTGCAGTGAGCCTAGACCACACCACTTCACTCCAGCCTGGGTGAAGGAGTGAGACTCTGACTCCAAAATTAATTAATTAATTAAAGAAACCAAACAAAGAGAAGGTTGGCTACACCGAGATCAGCAAGGGTGGGATGATGATGCCACCACCAGGCTCCATCCACATAGGGAGGGGTTGATACTCCTCAAACCAGCACCAGAAGCCAGCCTATGGAAGCTGGCACCATGGAGAAGGCACAGGCATGGCAAGAGTGGCTCCCAGTCCCCACCAGGAACAGGGTGTGTGGACACTGGTGCCTGCCTTACTGATCAGTTCATACCTTCTGCCAAGGATTCCAAATCGTCCAAAAGAGATTGAACCAGTCTGCTAAGAGCCTGGACGTGCAGCCTATCCTGGTTCCTCTTCCACCCCCACATAGAAGCAGGAAAGACATTAGTTCGAAATAGATACAACAGCCCAAGAGATGAGGCTGAGCCCAGCGGCAAGGGAATCAGGAGCTACTAGAGACAGAGGGACAGAGAAGAGGGAGGGAGACAGATGGAAGGACCTGTACCAGGAGTTATGGGCACAGAAAAGAACATGAAGACACAGAGAGGAAGGAGAGAGATAAGACACCAGCGAGGGGAAGCCTCACTCATTCTAGGTGCCATGGATGGGATGATAAAGAGAGATGCCTTCTAAAGTCACAACCTCTCTTCCTAGGAGTCCACAGAAAACCTTCCCTCCTGGCCCACCCAGGTCCCCTGGTGAAATCAGAAGAGACAGTCATCCTGCAATGTTGGTCAGATGTCATGTTTGAGCACTTCCTTCTGCACAGAGAGGGGACGTTTAATGACACTTTGCGCCTCACTGGAGAGCTCCATGATGGGGTCTCCAAGGCCAACTTCTCCATCGGTCGCATGACGCAAGACCTTGCAGGGACCTACAGATGCTACGGTTCTGTTCCTCATTCCCCCTATCAGTTGTCAGCTCCCAGTGACCCTCTGGACATCGTGATTACAGGTGAGAGTGTCTGGACATTATTCTCATTGTCACTGGGACACAGAGTGAATGATCCACGACTTGGAGGCCCAGGTGGTTATAAGGAAGATGAGCTTGGTATTCTTATGGAGAGAGACTAACTTGGTGAGGTCTGTACCAACAGAGACAGAGAAACAGGAGACACAAGTACAGACCAGGTGTCATAACAGAGGACAGACACAGGGGCCATACAGGGAGTTAGAAAAGACAGAAAGAGTTAAAGGAGACACAGACAGACATGTGCCAGAGAGAGGTGTCCTTCCATGCTGACTTTGCTCAGAGACCTGGCACAGGTTAGAAGTTTCATTTCTGTTTTACTTCCACAAAGTGTTCTCTACCAGAAGAACCCAAGGACACCCATATTTCTGGCCTGAGTTGGGCCCTGTGGCCTCAGGCCTTCTGGCACCTACAGATGCCGTGTTTATTCTGACACCTCTGCCTTCCATGCAATGGAGAGTAATCGTCCCAGGATATCATGGCCCCAGAACATCAACCCCTGTATACTGTGTGAACTTGCGGTCCCCAGACTGGATTCTGAGGCTCACATTCCAAATAACCCCACATATGAGAGGATCACTGAGAGACACAGAGAGAAATCAGGGACACCAAAAAGCAAAGACATAAACACACAGAGAATGAGCCAGAGGAAGGAGATTGAGAGACTCACAGACACATAAAGAGGGAGAAAAGAGGGCAGAGAAGTGGAGAGAACAATGGAAGGGAACAGAGAAAAGCACTAAAATTAGAGTCCTGAGGGAGAGACACAAGGACATAGAAAGATGGAGATGTGGGGATGAATTGCAGAGATTCCAAAGAGAACTAGAGAGACCGAGAGGCAGAGCAAGACAGATGATAGATGGATAGATATAGATAGATGATAAATAGGTAGATGATAGATAATAGGTTAAAGATACATAGATGATGATTGATTCATTCATTGATTAATCGATGATACATAGAGATGATGAAGATGAAGATAGATAGATAATACATAGAGATAGAGAGGCAGACAAAGAGAAATCATAGAGAGAGAGAGACGATACATAGATATAGATAATAGATGATTTTTGGATAGACAATTGATAGATAAATAGATTATATATAGATATAGATGACAGGTAGAGAATTTGTAGATAGGCACCAAATAGATAAATAGATATATCGATAGATAATAGATAGAAATATGCAGAAAGTTATGAACAGGACACAAAGTGAGAAACTCAGAATTTAAAAAAAGTAACATCAAGTCAACTAGTCCAAGGAGAGTCAGAGAGAATAAAACAATCCAAAAAGGGAAAACATATCTAGAGGTGAGAAAGTGAGGTCAGAGACCTAGAGAGACAGAGAAGGTGGAAAGAGGAAATAGACATAAAGAGAGATGGTGTGGAGGGTGAGACAGAGAGAGAGAGCATTAGGCCATAGAGCAGGGGAGTGAGTTCTCAGCTCAGGTGGGAGGGGAGTTGTGACAAGGAAGAACCTCCCTGAGGAAACTGCCTCTTCTCCTTCCAGGTCTATGTGGGAAACCTTCTCTCTCAGCCCAGCCGCGCCCCATGGTTAAGGCAGGAGAGAGCGTGACCTTGTCCTGCAGCTCCCGGAGCTCCTATGACATCTACCATCTATCAAGGGACGGGGAGGCTCATGAACTTAGGCTCCCTGCAGTGCCCAAGGTCAATGGAACCTTCCAGGCCAACTTTCCTCTGGGCCCTGCCACCCACGGAGGGACCTACAGATGCTTCGGCTCTTTCCGTGACTCTCCCTACGAGTGGTCAGACCTTAGTGACCCACTGCTTGTTTCTGTCACAGGTGAGGAAACCAGTCTGTTCCCCAAATAGTGGGACTCAGATGGACTACAATGGCCACATTCAGGGGAGCCTCAGATGGAGGGGGTGGCCATGGGGGTGTCAGCCAGAGATGCTGGACAGAAGAGACACAAAGCAAACATACAGAAAGAGGCATAGACAGACAGACAGAGCGAGGCAGACAGATCACATTAGGGTTTGGGGTGGTAACTGCAACCCTACCTGAAGCTTGCAGATAGAGCACAGGCCACATAAACCACTTCCCAGTCTTTGTACAGAAGCCCACCTGGGACACATGTAAACAGCATCAATGCTGACTCAGGAGCATGAAAGGCCGGGCTCAGATTGGAAAGACTAGAGGTAGCATTGGCCGCCCGCCATTGCCCATTTCCAGAAGCCCCCACCTCTCACCAAAGAGTGATTTCCACATGGGGGGCACAGATGCAACCATCGTTGGGGGAGCCCCAATGTCTCTTGATGGGAGGCATTTTCCACCCTAGATGTTTTTTGCTCTCTCCACACCTTGGAGACTCAGTGGGGGAGTCTTCTCTGGGGACTCGGGGAGGGCCTCCCTGGGACTCGCAGGATTTCCAAGCTAGATGACAACATGACAGGTGGAAACAGGCCCATTCCTTCGCCAGGGGCCCCAAGCTCCATCCCAGGAGATGAGAAGAGGCTCTTCTCATTGGTCAGTGGATCCCTGAGGGGACAGAGGCTCAGCACTGAAGGCTGAGAAGGATCTGCCACTTCGCTCAGTGGCCTCAAGCCAGACATCTTCCCTACAGACTTGCAGTGATTCTCCATCAGCATTTAGGGCTGTGGCCACCAACCTGGGTGTTGGTCTGTAGGAACTTTTCATTTCTGACCTTCCATAACTGAGTTCTCTTCCTAAATGTGGAATGCCTTGTACTCCATGTTACTCTCTCCCCAGAAAGAATGTGTGGCTTGTCTGCTCTCCAGCCCTGTCATGGAGATTGATAATCCTTAGGGAGCAAGAGGAGAGGGAAAGAACAAAGTATGAGACCACCTAGGTGCTACTGGTTGAGGTTCCATTTGCCAGTGAAGGGACTTCACTCAGCCGAGGGGGCAACTCAGGGAAGTCAGCCGAGGGAGGGCATTAGAGTAGAGAGAACTGAGCTCACCCAGTAAATGACCCCTTCACTAACTCATTCATCTAATATTTATTTCACACCTACCATCAGTTCTCTCTGTTTCATGGCCAGGAGTAGACAGCACGGCCAAGCTCCTGGGTTCATGATGCTCACATTGCTGTGGGGTGGGAGAGAGAGGCAGAACATGAATGAATGAATGAGAGAATGAATGAATGAGTGAATGATGGAATGAGTGAATGAATGAATGAATGAATGTATGAATTAGTGAGTGAATCCTTAGCACTTGGTGAAAGTGCCATGCACAGAATGAAATGAATGAACGTGGAACGTTGTCATTTGGAGTGTACAGGAGGGAATGTCTCACTGAGACCTCATCAGAGAGATCACATTTAAACTCCGATCTTAGAGACAAGAGGGAGTGAGCCCTGGGGAGTGTGTTGAAAGGAACTTTCATGGACTTAGGACATTGGGGATGACCCTAATGTGAGAATGAGCTTGGTGTGTTCCAAGAAGTCCATGGACCTGCCATATGGTGAGGGCTGGTCAGAATCCAGAGAGATTTCTAAATGCCCTTGTGCTTGTAAGGAAAGTGAGTCCTGTGGTTGGGAGTGGACTTATACCTTGGGTCAGGTCCAGCAATTATCTTTCTAAATCCTCTCTAATTGCCTGAACCACTTCTATCAACAACTGAGAAAAGAGGAGTGTTAAACACCCCACTGTGGCCGTGGATTTGCCTACCTGTCCATTTATTTCCGCGACTCTTCCTCCATGTATATTTGCAGGAATATTACTGGGAGTGGTTAAGTGTAAACTGATTATATATTCCTGGTAAATTTAAAATGCTATAAATTTACCTGCTTTTTTCCTACATTTTATGCTTAATGTTTTCCGCTGATTTTTCCCAAAGACTAATTTTGTCTAATTTTAATATAGTTATACCACATTTCTAACAGTGATTGCTTGGTATATTTCTACATTGTTTAATTTCAAACTCCATGAATTGTTAACATTGAGATGTGTCCTTTGTAAATTTCAAACAATTCGCCTTAGAAAGTAAGACTTTCTGACAATCTTTTGTTCATGTTTGAGCAGTTCTTCCAATCATATTTTTGTTATTATTACGTTGTGTTTTCCTGATTCCCTTTTTTTCCCACTGACTTCTGTGGTTTTCTATTTCAAACATTCTATTTTTGATCTATGTCGTTTAGGAATACATATATGGTGTACTCATCCTGAAGTTGTTACATATTTTTAAAATTGAAATTAATCATTTCAGAGATTAAACTGCAAATATAAAAACATATTTCCACTCTTCCTGTGTAAGAACAGGATTTTAGAGCATATTTAGTACATATGTTTGTATTTACTTATATGATGTTTTGTTTTGTGGTATACATAATTCTATCTTTTTCAGAAATTACACAGGGGCGTGTTTTCATACACTATCGTATGGTCCATATTCATTTTTGGCATAGCCATATTTTTAGTTCTTCCTCTGCTCTTAGTTATTGTCAGAATCTTCGACACCCCATCTGGTTTCACTTTCTTTATCTTTGAGGCACGGTCATCAGAATTTCCTTTAGGGTCAGTGAGAAAAGCTTTCTTTGCCCTTTTGTCTTTCAGTTCTGTTTCTTTCCTGCGTTGATCTTGGACAGTAACTGTACTATGTAAGGAATTGTCGGTGGCTGGCGACGGTATCTTAGCTGGGTAAAGATGCTATTCTACTGGCTTATGTTTTCCTTTTTTCTGTGGGGAAGACAATGCTTGGCTCCCTATAAATCCTTACCAGCTGATCCTTTTCCTCTGGCTAATTTTAAGGGTTGGTTGTGCTTTTATGCTGCTTTTCTGTAATGTTGAACGTGAGGTGTGTTTACTTCATTCTGCCTGGCATTCACTGGATTTCTTGAACCTGTGGATTGATGGATGTGTCTACTTCCTCCAAATAATCAACAATTGCCTCTTTAAAGATTGCTTCTGACCTGTTTTCTCGTTCTTTCTTTTTGGAACTCAAGTTAGGAGCATTCTAAAACTGTTGTCAATTTTTACCCTGTCACAAAACTGCTCTTTCTTGTTTCAGTTATTTGCTTTTTCTGTGCATTAATATTGATGGTTTCCTCTGTCATAGAGGATAAATACTCTCTTCACTGTTGTGTACACAACATTTTAACTAGTTATTCTGGTTTAAATTTAATATTGACTTTATCTACATATCACAATTGATTACTGTGTACAGACTTTCTTTTCTATTAGTATAAATTTATGAGGTACACTTGTAATTTTGTGACATGAGTATGTTGCAGAGTAGTGAAGTCAGGACTTTTACTATATCCATCACCCAAATACCGTACATTGTACTCATTAAGCAAATTCTCATCACTCACCCACGTCCCGCCACCCTCCAGCCTTCTAGCCTCCGCTGTCCGTCATTCCACACTCTACGTCCATATGTACACATTACTCCCCTCCCATGTAGAGTGAGAAGATGTGGTATTTGTCTTTCTGAGTGGTTTTATGTAAAATAATGGCGTCCAGCTCCATCTATGTTGCTGCAAAAGACATGGTTTTATTTTTATGACCAAATAGTATTTCGTTGTGTATACACGCATCCTTTTTTTAATCCAATCATTCATTCACAGACACTTAGATTGATTTCATATCTTTGCTATTGCAAACAGTGCTGCAATAAACATACAGGTGCAGGTATTTTTTGAGTAGATACCCAGCAGCGGGACCCCTAGATCGAATGGTGCTTCTATTTTTGGTTCTCTGCCAAATTTCCATACTGTCTTCCATAGAGGCTATACTAATTTACATACCGGCCAACAGTGTATAAGAGTTTCCTTTTCTCTGCATCCTTGCCAACACCTGTTATATGTTTCACTTTTTCTTTTTTTCTTTTTGAGATGGAGTCTTCCACTGTCACCCAGGCTGGAGTGCAGTGCCGCCATCTCCACGCGCTGCAACCTCCACCAACCAGGTTCAAATGATTCTCCTGCCTCAGCCTCCTGAGTAGCTGGGATTACAGAACCACACCACCATGCCCAGCTAATCTTTTGTATATTTAGTAGAGATGGGGTTTCACTATGTTGGTCAGGCTGGTCTCAAACTCCTGACCTCATGATCCACCCGCCTCAGCTTCCCAAAGTGCTGGGATTACAAGCGTGAGCCACCACTCCCCACCAGCATTTTTAGTAATAGCCATTCTGACTACTGTAAGATGATATCTCATTGTGGTTTCAATTTGCATTTCTCTGATGATTAGTGATGTTCATACGCTGTTTGGCCATTCGTATGTCTTCTTTTGAAAAATGTCTATGTATATCCCTTTGCCCACTTTTTAATGCTATTATTTGAGGGGTTATGTTTAGTTGTTTGAGTTGCCTAGAAATTCTGGATGTTAGTCCTCTGTTGGGTGCATAGTTTGCAAACATTTCCATTCATTCTGTGGGTTGTCTGTTCACCCTGCTACTATTTCCTTTGCTTGGCAGAAGCTCTTTCGTTTATTAAGTCCCATTGGTCTAGTTTTATTTTTATTGCCTGTGCTTTTGAGGTCTTAGTGATGAATTCTTTGCCCAGACCAATGCCCAGAAGAGTTTCTCTTTGGGTTTCCACCGGTGATTTTATAGTTCTGGATTTACATTTAAGCTGCTAATTACCTTAAGTTAATTTATGTGTATGATTACAGATACAGGTCCAGTTTTATTCTTCTGCATATGGCTATTTAGTTTTCCCAGCACCTTTTATTGAAAAGGAAATCTTTCTCCAGTGTATGTTTTGTTAACGTCGTCAATGATTATTCACTGTAGATATGAGGCTGTATTTCTGGGCTCTCTATTCTGGTCTATTGATCTCTGTTTCTGTGTCTATACCAGCACTGTGCTATTTAAGTTACTATAGCCTTAGAGCATAGTTTGAAGTCAGATAGCGTGATGCCTCCAGGTTTCTACATTCACCTAGAATTGCTTTCTCTATTAGGATCTTTTTTGGTTCTGTATGAATTTTAGGATTGCTTTTTCTAATTCTGTGAAAGCTGGTGTTACTATTTTCATATAAGAATTGCACTGAATCTGTAGATTGCTTTAGGCAGTATGGTCATTTTAACAATATTAATTCTTATGATCCATGAGCGTGGGATTTTTTTTCTTTTTTTTTTTTTGTATTATCTATAATTGCTTTCATTGGTGTCTTACACCTTTCCTGGTACAGCTCTTTCACCACCTTGGTTAAATGTATTCCTGAGTGTTTTAATTTTGCGTATCTATTGTAAACGGCATTGCCTTCTTGATTTGGTTCTCAGCTAGATCATTATAGGTGTAGAGAAATGCTACCGGCTTTTACATATTGATTTTGTATTCTGAAACTTTACTTAGTTCATTTATCAATCATAAGAATTTTTGGCAGGGTCTTTAGGATTTTCTAGATTTAAGATCATAGCATCAGAAATAAAAATAATTTTACTTCCTCTTTTCTAATTTGGATTTTTAATTCTTCCTGTTGCCCAATAGCTCTGACAAGGCTTCCAGTACTATGTTGATAGGAAGTGGTGGATGTCCGTGTCCTTGTCTTGTGCCAGTTCTCAGAGGAGTGCTTTTAACTTTTCCTGTTCAGTATGATGTTGACTCTAGATATGTCATCTATGGCTTTTATTATTTTGAGGTATGTTCTTTCTATGCCTAAGTTTTTGAGGGTTTTCATCAGGTAAGGATGTTGAATTTCTTTTCAGATGCTTTTCTTTATGTCTATTGAGATGATCATATGGTTTTTGTTCTGGATTCTGCTCGTTCTTCTAAGTGGATGAGACATGCCAGAAAAGCATTTAGTCAGCCATCTTGGAAACAAGCATCTCAGATGTTTTCTTTCTCTATAGCTCATTCTTTCTTACCAGTGTTTTCAATTTTGTACTTAATTTTGTAAAGAGAGTAAATGATATAATTTCCACATATGTTTCCTCTGCCAAATCAGACTCACTATGCTTCCTTTCCTTGTATGCATAACCTACCCAGCAATACACACAAACATTTATTGCTTTGGAGAATTAGTTTGGGAACATTTTTGAAATGTACAAAAAAATGTATATCTTCAAAAGAAATTTCTTTTTGTGGCAAAAGACTTCTGAAGGTGCTCATGATGATATAGGGAGAAGAGGGGTTCTGGACAGGAAGAATTTTATGAAGGTGAGATGGGGAAATAGCTCCATTTCAGAGCTTCTGGGGAGAGAGGGGCCTGGCCCACATGGAAAGGTCTCTGATCTTACCCCCACCCTCCAGCCCCTGTTCTCCAGAACTATACTGTGGAGAGTTCCATCAGGATTGTTGTGGCTGGTCTGGTCTTCCTGGCTCTTTTGGCAATGCTGGCTAAGACCTGGTGGAGACATGAGGGGCCACAGGTGGAAATGGAAGAAACATGACTGAAGCTGGCTGGAGTGAATGGCGCGACATTCTGTCTGTGGGAGATTGGCCAGATGGGTTTCAAGTGTGTTGTATCAGCTGTGACTTTTAGTAATGTTCTTGCTACCACAATATCCACTCGTCCATCCCGAATAATTGTGATGAAATATTGTCCTTGGGATAATATTCATTTGCTAAAGACAGGGATGATACCTCAAGGTGCCACTATATACATCGAGGGGATCCACAAAAGTCCATTCAGTAAAATGTAGTTGGCATCTTAGGGTAGGTTGATTCCACCTCTAAAAAAGTAGGTACAACATCAGGTTGATTTTTCCGAAGAAAAGTGGTGATTGGCCATCTTTAGTCTCAATGTAAACGGTAATACTGATGAGTGTGGAAAAGGCAGGGAAGAGGATTGACAATAAGTGACACTCATTGTTTTCATCTGAGCTTTGAGACTGAAAGAGGAACACAGGAGTGAGATGTATGGGAACAAACCCCTTCTTTTTCCAGCTAAACAGAGTGGAAGTTGGACACTGAGTTTTGGCGTACAGCAAAATCCTAAGTCCATTGTTGGGTTGAACACGGCCATGTTGTACATCCTGGTTTCACAGCAGACACTGGAGGAAAACAGCCTGTATTCATAAGAGGCTGTCCCTCGGGTCACTGCCCAGAATATCCGGAGTTGGTGCTCACAGGGTTGGGAACTCTCCTGGACCAGACAGGCTCTGGATATGGGGGGGTACCAAGCTCCCCGGGGCCATGCCTCCACAGCTCTCTTCTCACCTCATTCTTGACCATTTCCCAAACCTCTGACCTCACCTTCATTCATCCATGGTGAACACGCTAAAGCTGGCCTTCAAAGCTTGAGACAGAGGAAAATTGGGCTTCATCTCTGGGAACTAAATTGGGGAGTGGAGACTCAGTTCTGGCCTGACAGGAGGGAGAAGACCCTGGATCCCAGTGTGGATGGGAAGAAGTATGTGTTTCTCTTTTGTGCTTGGACCCTGTGTCCAAGCATGTCTGAGATGTGATGAAGATGAATCTTCCTTTCCTTGTCTATTTTCTCATGCCAGAGAATTGGAATCTTATATTCTATTAACTCTTTCTGTTCTGTTCATCCAGATTCTATGAAGGAGAAAGGAAAAGATGTGATACTGTAATTTTGCTCCATTTGTCTAAAATGAGTAGGCTGCAACTCCTCTTGAAGTGATACCTTTTCTAGCTCTTGTTGGAGGTGTCTCAGGACTCATTACTTCGGGGAACCTGCAACTGTGTCAGTCTGGGGAAACTGCAAATATTCTTGTCTTACATTTGTCTCCAGCCAATTGTGATGGACTCCAGTGACCTGCAATTGCTGTTATTGCAGGTAAAATGTACCTGAGTCAGGCCACAGTTCTCCTGGACTATGAGCCCCTGGCCATGTTCCTGAGGCAATTCTGTTCATCTAAATATAATAATAATAACACACTAAAAATGGCAAGCCATTGTTAATTCCTGAAGTCTCATTTGAAAATTACTAAATGTCTGTTATTTTTTGGTGTTTACATTATATGTAGACAGATAAACTACACACACACACACACACACACATGCACACAGAAGAATGGATTGGTTCATGTAGAAAAGTAAATAATTCAAGATGAAAGGATGAAATGTCATGGCACCTACTATTCTATTTTAGATAAAGGGTCTATGAAAAGATTGATTTCTTTTTATGTTTTATTTGTTGACATTTGAACACAAACTATGTAAGTGAGGGAGTCGATTTGAAAGGGAGAAGAGCAAGTTCAAACACATTCAGGTGAGGTCATGCTTTACATGTTTTAATTGAAATGATCCATCTTGGGAGTAGATCAATAACTGAGATGGTGCCAGGAATGTTAAAAAGCTTTTGTCAGTCCTAAATATTGACAAATAAAATTTAATTAAAGTCTTAGAAGAAAACACAAAGGAAAACTTCACAACATCGGATTTGGCAGTGATTCTTTAGATGTGACAACAACGGCACAGGCTACTACAGAAAAAATAAACAAGTTAGACTTTATGAAAATTTTGAAATATTGTGACTCAAAAGACAACATCAGTTACTTCACATGGCAAGGAAAAAGAACTTTTAAGACGATATTATCAAAGTAAAAAGACAACCCACAGAATGGGAGAAAATGTTTTCAAACCACACCACCTGTAAGGGATTAACATCCAGAATATACAGACAACTCCTAAAACTCAATCACAATAAACTCAATTCAAAAATGGGCAAAGTACTGAAACAGACATTTCTCCAAAGAACATACGCATGACAAGATATTCAGCATCACGAATCATTAGGGAAATACTAACTAAAACTACACCAGATGCCATTTCATACCCCTTAGGATGGGTATCATCAAAACAACAACAACAACAACAACAACAAAGTTTCTATACATTAACAACAAACTATCCAAAAAAGTTTACAAGAAAATAAGCCCATTTGCAATAACTACAGAAAACAAAACATGCAGGAATAAATTCACCCAAGGAGTAGAAAGATCTGTATGCAAAAGCTATAAAACATTGATGAAAAAACTCAAGAAATAAACAAATAAATCGAAAGATATTCCATGTTCACGGATCAGAAGGATTAATGTTGTTAAAATGTCCATTCTATCCAAAGTGATTCAATGCAACCATTATCAAAAATCCAATGACATTTTTTTTTACAGAAATAGAAAAAACAGTCCTAAAATTCATGTGGAACCACAAAAGATCTCAAATAACCAAAGCCATCTAGAGGGAAAGGAACAAAGTTGGAAGCATCACATTACCTAAACACAAACTACATTACAAAGTTACAGTAATTAAAACAACACAGTACTTGCATAAAAACAGACACATAGACCAATGGAAGTGATTCATAGCCCAGGAAAAAAAATGCACGCATTTAGGGTCAAACAATTTTTGGGATGTATCAAGAACACACAATGGAGAAGGAACAGTCTCTTTAATAAATGGGATTGGGAGACATGCAGAAGAATGGAAGTGGACATTTGCCTCACAAAACATACAAAGTCAACTCAAGATAGATTAATGACTTAAATGTAAGATGAAAGACTATCATCCCAGCAATTTGGGAGGCCAAGGCGGGCAGATCACCTAAGGTCAGGATTCCAAGACCAGCATGGCCAACATGGTGAAATCCCGCCTCTACTAAAAATACAAAAACAGCTGGGTGTGGTTGTGGGTGCCTGTAATCTCAGCTACTCGGGAGGTTGAGACAGGAGAATCACTTGAACCCAGGAGGTAGAGGTTGCAGTGAGCCGAGATCGCATCACTGCACTCCAGCCGGGGCAACAGAGTGAGACTCCATCTTAAAAAAAAAAAAAACTACTAAAAGAAATCAAGGGAAAACTCCACTGGCTTGGGCAAAACCATTTTGGATATTAACCCAAAGGCCCAGGCAACAAAAGCAAAAGTAGACAAATAACATTATATCAAATTGAAAGTTTCTGCAAAGAAAAAAAAAAACTCAACAAGTGGAAAGACAACCTATGGAATGGGAGAATATATTTGCACCCATACATCTAATAAGGAATTAATATCCAAAATATGTAAGAAACTCAAACAACTCAATGGTAAGAAATCAAATAACCCAACTTAAAAAAATGGGCAAAGTATCTGAATAAACATTTCTAAGAATAAGACAAATCACCAAAAGGTATATGAAAAAATGATTAGCATTACTAAACATCAGCTAAATAAAAATTAAAACTAGAATGAGATATCACCTCACACCTCTTAGAATGACCATTAACAGTCTGGGCATGGTGGCTCATGCCTGTAATTCAGGCACTTTGGGAGGCCGAGGCAGGGAGATTACCTGAGGTCAGCAGTTCGAAACCAGCCTGGCCAATATGGTGAAATCCCATCCCTACTAAAAATACAAAAATTAGCAGAGTTTGGTGGCGCACACTTGTAGTCCCAGCTACTCTGGAGACTGAGGCAGGGGAATCGCTTGAACCCAGGAGGCAGAGGTTGCAGTACACCGAGATTGTGCCACTGCACTCCAGCCTGGGTGACAGAGCAAGACTGAGTCTCAAAAAAAAAAAAAAAAAGACCATTATCAAAAACATAAAAAATAACAAGGGTTAACGAGGATGTGGAGAAAAGGGAACATTTGTATGCAGTTGATGGGAATGTAAATTAGCACAACCATTATGGAAAACAGTCTGGAAGTTCCTGAAAAAATTAAACATAGAATTCCCATATGTGTCTGCAATCCAACTACTGCGCATGTATCCAAAGGAAGTGGAATCAGTATGTTGAAGAGATATCTGCATTCCCATGTTTACAGCCGCATTATTCATAACAGCCAAGATGTGGAATCACCCTTACTGCCCATCTATGGGTGCATGGACAAAGAAAACGTGGTATACGATAGGAACGTAATGAAGTACTATACAACCTTTACAACAAAGAAGGAAGTCCTCTCATTTGTGACAATGTGAAAAAACTTAGAGGACATTATGTTAAGGGAAACAATCCAGGCACAGAAAGACAAATGCCACATGATCTCATGTGTGGAGTGTAAGAAGTGGAACCTAGAGGAACAGTAAAATGGTCGTCGAAAGAACCTGGGAAGGAGAGAGATTGAAGAGATGTTGGTCAAAGGATGCAAAATTTCAGTTAGAAGAAATCGGTTCAAGAGATCTATTGTATGTCTTGGTGACTCCATTTAATAGCAACATATGGTGTATTGAACATTACTAAGAGATTAGATTTTACATGTTCTCACCACACACACAAAACATACAAGTATGTGAAAAAATAAATAGATAAAGAGGTTGTTTCATCCATTCCACAATGTGTACCTATATGAAAACATCATCATGGACACCACAAATACCCTTTTCCTCATTAATTAAATTTGTTTTGGCTTTTTTTTTGAGACGCAGTTTCACTGTTGTTGCCCAAGCTGAGGTGCAATGGCGTGATCTCCGCTCACTGCAACCTCTGCCTCCCAGGTTCAAGCGGTTCTCCTGACTCAGCCTCCCAAGCAGCTGGGACTACAGTTGCGTACCACCCCGTCCGGCTATATTTGTGTTTCTAGTAGAGACAGGGTTTCGCCATGTTGGCCAGGCTGGTCTCGAACTCCAGACCTCAGGTGATCCACCCGCTTCGCCCTCCCAAAGTGCTAGATTTCAGGCTGAGACACCACACCCAGCCTGTACATTGACTTTCTGCCCTTAAACTGTGCTGAAGTTTGTTTCTCAGATGTAGGAGCCTTTGGGCAGAGACTATGGGGTTTCTAGGTATAGAAATTATCTCATCTTCAAACAGAGGTAATTTGACTACCTCTCTCTGCTACTCTCTTCTTACTTGGATGCCTTATAATTCTTTCTCTTTCCTGATGGCTCTGTCTAGGACTTCAAGTACTATGTTGAATAGGATGGTGAGAGTGGGCATTCTTGTCTTGTTTCACTTATGAAGGGAACTTCTTCCAGCTTTTACTCATTCAGTATGATGTTGGTTGTGGGTTTGTCATAGGCGGCTCTTATTATATTGAGTTATGTTTCTTCAATGCTTAGCTTGTTGAGGGCTTTTAACATGAAGAAATGCTTAGTAAAAAGTATGTTCTACATGTGTGTTGAGAAGATCATGTGGTTTTTGTTTTTAGTTTTGTTTAGGTGATGAATCACATGTATTGATTGTGTATGTTCAACCAACCTTGCACCCTAAGAATAAAGTTGACTTGATCATGGTGGATTCACTTTTTGATATGCTGCGGGATTCAGTTCTTAGTATTTTTTGTGGATTTTTGCATCTATGCTCATCAGGAATATTGGCATGTAGTTTTCTTTTGTTTAATATTCTTTTCTGTCTTTAGTATCAGGGTGATGCCAGCCTTATAGAATGAGTAAAGGCCACCCTGGGCAAACAGTGAGACCCATCCCTTTTTAAAAATTATGAGTTTTACAAATTTAAAATGCATAGTGAAAAAGTTCTTACAAACTCCAGAAAGGTAGGTGTAAATAAGAGACATTTGTAAGAATGACAGCACATTAAATGTGTAGATTTCAACCTTCAGTTATTGCAATATTCCAGTATCAAGTTGGAGGATGTTATCAGTCTGATATTTTTTCCTCAAATGAGAGAGAGAAAGAAAGACACACAAACAACACAGGGAGAAAAAAAGCACACGTTACAGAGAGACAAAAAGGGAGACAGGGAACTGTGAATTTGGACTCTTGTGTCATAAGACAAATTCTAGATAACACGACCAGACCTTCAATTGACATATTGTGTTTTTGCTAATAAGGTGGAATTCTATGATGTGAAATAACTATATAGTCTTTTCTACTGGGATTTAAATCATTTTATCTGTTTCTGGCTTAACAGGAAAAATACAACCATGGAAAATTATGATGATTTATTTAATACGATTGCTCTATAGTGTTAATAAAACCTATTAGGTATTTTGCATATTACATATCAAGGAGAGTTTGAATCTCAGGTAGAAACAAAAAAAAATACATCAAAAGTTCCTCATGTGAGTGCAGAATTCAATCGTCCCGTGCAGGGGTAAGTGAGTCTGAGATGTGTTTTGAGCCTGGCCATTGCGCATGATGTGAACTGACAAGTCTAGTCTGCAGTTTTCAGAAACCCTCATTCCTCCCTTGACTGACTCACCACTTGAACCTCATATGACGTAGAAGAAGCCTACCTATGTCCCCTTCACATGTTGTGGTCAATGTGTCAACTGCACGATCCGGGCCCCTCACCACATCCTCTGCACCGGTCAGTCGAGCCGAGTCACTGCGTCCTGGCAGCAGAAGCTGCACCATGTCCATGTCACCCACGGTCATCATCCTGGCATGTCTTGGTGAGTCCTGGAAGGGAAGGAGCACCAGGGTTACACTATGGGCCTGCAGATTGGGTGTCTCCCCAGCAGAGAGCCATGTTCTGAAGCAAGTGAGTGGTGAGGATGAGTTAATTTTCAGTCCAGCGTGGCGCCCAGTGGCTCAGGAGGAAAGGGTAGGTTGGTGCCGAGATGAATAGTTCATCATGATCTTTCTTTGCAGGGTTCTTCTTGGACCAGAGTGTGTGGGCACACGTGGGTGAGTCCTTCCCCAAATGATGGGTTGCCATCTTCACCCCAATACAAGTGAATTTTCCGGAAATGGGAGGGAGGCAGCACAGAGGGTGGGCTGATGGGCTGACCATGGGAAGGCCTGGGGGGAGTCTCTCATGAACTAGTAAGAGGAGATCCTGGGAGTCTCTCATGAACTAGTAAGAGGAGATCCTGGGAGTCTCTCATGAACTAGTAAGAGGAGATCCTGGGAGTCTCTCATGAACTAGTAAGAGGAGATCCTGGTATGCTCAGCCCTCTGTTTTGTCTTAGCCCTCCCCAGCCTTTCTTCCCCATGGCTGAGTTGAGCTCTGTGTGGCCCAGGCGGGATACTGAGGTGCTCAAAGCTGGGGTGTGTGGGGGGATGTGGTGTCACCGACAGAGGAGGGAAGGGTAGCAGTGTTAGGAACAGCAGGTCCTCTGAGCACAAGAGGGTAACTCACACCCTCCAGCGTTTCCATGACGGTAGGGGCTGCAGTGTGGCTGCTGTCATTCTGCCAGAAGAGGTGGGGGAACCACAGCCACGACCCTGCCATTCCAAATCCTCTGATGGAGCTCAGTTGTTTATTGTGGTTCAGGCATTAGCTAATATTCCATTCACAAAGGTCATACCCTCCACCCCATGTCTACTTTGTGTTGTTTGGTGTAACTAATCTTGCAGTATTAAAATCTAGTAAGAGTCCCTTACTCAGCACCTGCTCAGTTCTCAACTGACACTTTTGTTGTAGGGAGACGCCACGTCTATGCGGGATGGGTCCTTCCTGTAGCCCCAGGCACCCAGGTGTGGTAGGAGCCTTAGAAAGAAGAAATGGGGAGAATCTTCTGAGCACAGGGAGGGAGGGGCAGCTCAACATACTCCTCTCTGAGGCGGCATCTCCTTCTCCCCAAGGTGGTCAGGACAAGCCCTTCTGCTCTGCCTGGCCCAGCGCTGTGGTGCCTCAAGGAGGACACGTGACTCTTCGGTGTCACTATCGTCGTGGGTTTAACATCTTCACGCTGTACAAGAAAGATGGGGTCCCTGTCCCTGAGCTCTACAACAGAATATTCTGGAACAGTTTCCTCATTAGCCCTGTGACCCCAGCACACGCAGGGACCTACAGATGTCGAGGTTTTCACCCGCACTCCCCCACTGAGTGGTCGGCACCCAGCAACCCCCTGGTGATCATGGTCACAGGTCAGAGGGCTCCTGTCTGGGCTTCTCCTTGTCCCACCTCCTGAGTCCCAGAGCTTCTGGTGGGGGTGTCCACCAGAGTCCGATCATCCAGGCCCCAACTATATTTGGGGTAAAGGGGGATTGAATACAGGGGAATGGGTGCTGTGTTGGAAAGAATAACTGTCCCCATCAATGGCCACATTGTAATCCTTGGAGCCTGTGACTATGTTATAGGGCAGGGGACTGAAGGGGAAGATGGAGCTCAGGTTGTTGATGAGTTGACCTTGAGATGGGGAGATGGCCTGGACTCTCCCACTGGGCTCAGTGTAATCACAAGGGTCCATATGAGTGGAGAAGGAAGAGGAGAATGGGGATTAGAGCAGCATCGTGGGATACTCCACCAGCCACTGTGGGCTTTGAAGGTGGAGGAAGACCACGAGCCACGAAGGGGCTGGAGAAATCAATGGAACTGATTCTCCCGAGTCTCCAGAGGGAATGCAGCCCTGCAGATGCCTTGATTGTAGCCCAGGAAGAACAGGGTCTGATTTCTGTCTCCAGAAGTGGAAGGGGTCAGTGTGTTCTCTCCTGTCGCCATGTTTGTGATAATTTTCTCCAGCAACAACAGGAAACCAACACAGGAACCCAGGTGAAGGACAAGTTAAAAAACCAAACAAGAAGGTTGGCTACCCTGAGATCAGCAAGGGTGCACTGCTGATGCCACCACCAGGCTGGAACCACATAGGGAGGGATCGACAGGAAGAGTTGGGGGTGGAGGGTGAGAGAGAGAGAGAGAGCACTAGGCCATAGAGCAGGGCAGTGAGTTCTCAGCTCAGGTGGGAGGGGAGCTGTGACAAGGAAGAACCTCCCTGAGGAAACTGCCTCTTCTCCTTCCAGGTCTATATGAGAAACCTTCGCTTACAGCCCGGCCGGGCCCCACGGTTCGCACAGGAGAGAACGTGACCTTGTCCTGCAGCTCCCAGAGCTCCTTTGACATCTACCATCTATCCAGGGAGGGGGAAGCCCATGAACTTAGGCTCCCTGCAGTGCCCAGCATCAATGGAACATTCCAGGCCGACTTCCCTCTGGGTCCTGCCACCCACGGAGAGACCTACAGATGCTTCGGCTCTTTCCATGGATCTCCCTACGAGTGGTCAGACGCGAGTGACCCACTGCCTGTTTCTGTCACAGGTGAGGAAAGCCAATGTCTGTCCCATGTCCTATGGTCCTAGAGCCTTAGCTGAGGAGCTTCCTGCTGATGATGGAGAGAAGCATGGACAGATGTGGAGAGAAGATGCAGCATGGTGTGAGGGCGGGATCAGGGCACAGGATGGCAGACAGGGCACCTCCAAACCCTCCTGCATGGCCTGCATGGAAGCTTGCAGTAAGGGCTCCGGGTACCCAGGCAGATGGAGAAAGTGGTCAGGACAGACCCAGAGGAGGGAGACTGGGCTCAGTTTGGGGAGATCAGAGGTTCCCTCAGCCCCTCAACCTTACCCATTTCCCAGAAGCCCACCCTGGCCTCTCACCTACACAGAGATGTCATCACCAGCAACCCCTACACTTTTTCTTTTCCTTTGAAAAAATGCTGATTGAGGTTAAATATACCTATATAATTTATCAACTTTACCATTTTTAAGTGTAAAATCTAGGGATCATAAATACCTTTATATGCTGTGTGCGGTGGCTCACGCCTGTAATCTCAGCATTTTGAGACGCCAAGGCAGGTGGATCATTTAAAATCAGGGGCTGGAGACCAGCCTGGCCAACATGGGGGAACCAATCTTTACTAAAAAGACAAAAAAAATAAAATTAGCCAGGCATGGTGCCAGGCGCCTATAATCCCAGCAACTTGGGAGGCTGAGGCGGGAGAGTGGCTTAAACCCAGGAGGAGGAGGTTGCAGTGAGCTGAGATCATGCCACTGCACTGCAGCCTGGTGACACAGAGAGACTCTGTCTCTAAATAAATAAATAAATAAATACTTTTATATTCTTCTTTTGTTACCCTCCACCCCTTCCTTCCTAACCTCTGGTATCCACCATTCTACTCTCTACCTTCATGAGGTCCACCTTTTACATCCTGCATGTGAGTAAGAAATGGCAATCCTTGTAATGACCTCTAGTCCATCCATGTGGTTGCAAATGACAGGACGTTACTCTTTCTATGGATGAGTTGTCTCCATTGTGTGTATGTACTACATTCTCTCTATCCATTCATCCACTGATGGGCAGGTAGGTTGACTCCACATCTTGGCTACTGTGAACAGTGCTGGAACAGTCATGGGAGTGCAGATGTCACTTCAATACACTGAAGTCCTTTTCTTTGCATTTACACCCACTAGTGGAATTGCTAGATCCTCTGGATGTTCTCTTTTTAGGTTTTGTTTTATGCTTTTTGTTTTTTTGACATAGCGTTTCACTCTTGTTGCCCAAGCTGGAGTGCAATGGCACCACCTGGGCTCACTGCAACCTCTACCTCCAGGATTCAAGTGATTCTCCAGCCTCAGCCTCCCGAGTAGTTGGGATTACTGGTGCCCGCCACCAAGCCTGGCTGATTTTTGTATTTTTAGTAGAGACGGGGTTTCACCATGTTAGCCAGGCTGGTCTCGAACTCTTGACCTCCAGTGATCTGCCCACTTCAGCCTCCCAAGGTGCTGGGATTACAAGCGTGAGCCACAGTGCCTAATCTCTTTTCAGTTTTTAAGGAACTTCCATATTCTTCTCCTCTGTAATGGCTGTATTAATTTACATTCCTATCAACAGTGTATCAGGGTTCTCCTTTCTCCACCACCTTGCCAACATTTGTTTTGTCTGTCTCTGAGATAAAACCCATTGTAATGGGGTGAGATGATAGCTCATTGTGACTTCATTTGCATTTCTCTGATGATTAGTGATACTGAGCACTTTTTCATATATGCAATGTATATATGTTCATTTGTATGTTTTGTTCATTGAGAAATGTCTGTTCAGGTCTTTTACTAATTTTATAATTAAATTATTAGTTTTATTGAGGTGTTTGAGCTTCTTTTATATTCTAGTTATTAATCCCATCTCAGATGCATAGTTTGCAAATATTTGCTCCCATTCTGTGGGTTTTCTCTTCTTCACTTCATTGGTTGCTTCCTTTGCGGTGCAGAAGCTGCTTGATTTGATATAATCCCAATGGTCTATTTTTTTTGTTGTTGTTGTGATTACTTGTGTTTTTGAGGTTTTAAACAAAATGTCTTCCCTCAGACAAATGTCCTGGAGCATTTCTCCAGTGTTTCCTTTTAGACATTTAATGGATTCAGGTCTTAAGTCATTAATCCATTTTCATCTGATTTTTGTGTATGGTGAGAGGTAGAGGTGCAGTTTCATCCCTCTGCATGTAGATATCCAGTTTTCCCTGCACCATTTATTGAAATGACTGTCCTTTCCAGATTGTAGATTCTTCGAACCTTTGTCAAAGTCCATTGGATGTAAATGGGTGGATTACATCCGTGTTCTTCATTCTGCTTCATTGTTTTATGTGCTTTTCTTTATGCCAATGTCATGTTGTTTTGCTTACTACAGCTCTGTAACATATTTTTAAGTCAGGTAGTGTGATGCTCCTGTTTTCTCCTTATACCTTGAAGTCTCAAGATAGTTGGTGTCACCTACAATGATTATGGAGAATGGGATGCCAGGACTCCCAGGGCCCAACATTAGATAATAGAAGGTTGGCCATGAACCAACCTCAAAGATTTCCATTGAGTAGAAAAGACAGGCATCCTCATTGCCACACCTATCTCCTGTCCCATGTTCTAGGAAACCCTTCTAGTAGTTGGCCTTCACCCACTGAACCAAGCTTCAAAACTGGTAAGTGAAGGACCCCTCTTATCTCTGCTTTTGGAAACCTGGGGAGGTAGAAGCCTTGGATTCAAGCGTTGGCTCAGCACCTGCCAGCTCTGTGATTGTGGGCCTGTCTTCCATTGTCTCTGAACCCCAGACACTCCAACAGCGAAAGGGATCTGGGCCCAGCACAGGGCTCAGTGAAATCTCTTAATCTCTAATTTTCTGCTGCTGAGACCTCAGGGTAGAAGGATGAGTGCAAATCAGACATTCTTCTCAGGAAAAATGCTGTGTTTGTTCTGCCTGCATTCCTAACTGGGAGGACAAATGCCTGGGGGCTTGAGAAGGGGAAGGAAGGGGAACATTTTTGAGGGTGGTGTGTTTGTAGAGAAGTTCTACTTGCCAAGGAATGAGCTCCTGTCTGTCATGATCCAACCCTGGTTGACTTAGTGGAACAAGAGCTTTGCGGTAAGAGAGAACGTAGTTCATCCGTGCACATGACACTTCCACTTACTCGTTCAGCCACTGCCCCATGCTCAGACTGTGCAGTGTGGAACTTTTTCCTATGTTGCCATAACAAATTTCCACAAGCTTCGTGGATGGAAACCACATTTTTAAAAAATATCTCATGGTGCTGTAGCTCAGAAGTATGAAATGCATCATCTCACTGGGCTAAAATCAAGGTGACAGCAAGGCTGCCTTCCCTCTGAATGTTCCAGGCAAGAATCTGCTTCCTCACTTTTCCCAGCTCCTAGAGGCTCCCACATTCCTTGGCTCCTGGTCCCCGTCTTCCTCCCTCAAAGTCCACAAAGGCTGGTCACGCCTCTCACACGGCATCACTCAGACCCTTCTTCCTTGTCCACACCTCTTTCTCTGAATGCTGCTCTGCCTTCTTCCTCATCTTTTAAGGACTTTGGCATTCTATTGGAAACACCAAGATAATCCATCATAATTTCCCTAAAATCATCTAGGATACCCTCCTTTTAAGGTTAGCTGATTAGCAACCGTAATTCCATCTGCAATCTGCATTCCTTTTTTCCATGTAAAATAACATATTCACAAGATATGGCGACTAGGACAGGAACATTTTGGGGTGGGGCGGCATTCTTATCCTTTCCACAAATGGTAAACAAGGTGCATTTGGCCTCTGCTCTTGGACACTGATATTGCAAAGGATTAAATGGGAGGGCAGAAAATGAATACACCAGTGGACCAATAAATGAATGATCCATTGGGAAGCATCTGTGCATGAGAATGATTGATTGATTGGTTGTTTTTATGAGACGGTGTCTCCCTCTGTGCCCCAGGCTGGAGTGCAGTGGCGGGATCTCGGCTCACCGCAACCTCCACCTCCCAGGTTAAAGCGATTCTCTACACTCAGCTTCCCGAGAGGCTGGGATTACACCCATGTCCCACCACGCCTGGCTAATTTTTTTTTGGTATTTTTTTTTAGTACAGACAAGGTTTTACCATGTTGCCCAGGCTATCTCAAACTCCCAACCTTAAGGGATCCGCCCGTCTCAGCCTCCCAAAGTGCTGAGATTAGAGGCGTGAGCCAAGGCGCCGAGCCGTATTTTAAAAGAAATAATAGATAATGCTGAGTGTATAATTTCGGGTGACAGAGAAGTTCTCACTGATCAAATAATACTTGTGACCTTAATGAAAAAAATAGATCAACCCCTGGAAGATTGGCGGAAGGATTTTCCACACAGCTGTCAGCCGTGAAGGCACAAAGGTGAAAACAATGTTATGTGGAAGGAAGAGGCTCTGCCTGAAATGCTGGGAATGACATGGGGAGAATGACAAGACGACTGTGGAGAGACAGAGAGCACTCTGGGTACACAGGAAACTAAGGAGGAACAAGGAGCGTGTGTTTGATACTCACAGCCATTGGACTTACCTCGGGGCTAACTGGGAATCCCTACATGATGAATAGTGACTGACATGAAAATAAGGGAGGCCCAGGTGCATAACTGGAATCTAGGAGACTGTGGAAAAGGCAATTCCCGCCCCCCTGGTGAAATGTGGTGCTGATTTAGACACTAAATGAATGAAAGATGGACACAAGATGTGTTTGTGAGGTAGAGTAATTTGCAGGGAGGGCTTGCCTGGTTTGATTTTTCCTAATTGTTTAATCTTCACTTCATTGATTTCTTTCTGAGATTTATTTTTCCTACATGTAAATCAATACTTGGCAGAGGAGTGAGAGATACATGAGGGGTGGTGCAAAGGAAGAGACCTATTATAATATAACACACAAGGTTCTGAACGGTGGCTCACACCTGTAACCCAACATTTTGGGAGGCTGAGGAGGCTGGATCAAGTGAGATCAGGAGTTCGAGATCAGCCTGGACAACATGGTGAAACCCCATCTCTACTAAATATACAAAAACTAGCTGGGGGTGGTGGCGCGTGCCTGTAATACCAGCTATTCAGGAAGTTGAAGAAGGAGAATGGCTTCAACCAGGGAGGGAGAGGTTACAGTGAGCCAAGATCGCGTCATTGCACTGCACCCTAGGTGACAGAGTGAGACTCCATGGCAAAAAATAAAAATAAAGAATACATAAATATAATATAACATACACGAATGACAAAGGCACACCAATTCCAATCATCATTTTTCTATTTCTCTATAATGACTTCTTTGATCCTTTATCCTATCCATAAGAAAATCAGGCGAAAACATCTTCCTTATTTGGCTTTCTGTGAGCATGAGATCATATGGAAAATGTGAAACCCACCAGCACAGGTCCTGGAATAGAGAACGTGATCTGTTCATGGCACAAAACTTGCCCCTTCACCCAAATCCCCCACCTCACCCCTACTTCCAATCACATTAATGATACAGATAGATCATGGGGAGGTAAAAACTAATATTCTTTGGAGTTCAGATCGTAGACTCAGAGACCAGTGCCAGCACTATCTCCTGGTCACCTTTTGGAGTAATTCACAGAAAGACAGGCTGTATTGAAGCAACAGATGATGGAGGGGGTGGTCTTTCCCCCAGACTCTCGGGTGGAACAGCAGCCTAATATCTGACTCCCAAGATGACAAAAGTAGCATGTTGCCCACGAGCTTCATCATTATTTCCTGGCTGTTTGATATAAGACAGCTCAACCTCACTTATGTTGATTTCAATGTCACTGTTTTTTCCTTTTCTTGGAGAATGTAATTTGTTTGAGTCAAGAGGGTTGTGGATGTAGAAACTGTAAAGCACATTCACTGTGTATCAATCCCAGTCCAGTCTTCCCAGAGAAGACTCTAAACACCTCCCATACTGCACCTGGGCCTGTGCCAATTTCTATCACTCACCATCACTCCAGGTAGACAGAACACACAGGGAATACATTACATAGGCAGGTTCATTACTTATAGATAAGCAGCGAGTGACAACAGAAACCTTCCTTTCAGGGTGAGCCAGTCCCTCAAGGCTCAGAAAAACTGCTCAGGACACATGGAGTCACTTCATGTGCACTGTAGCTGGGGGAAGCCAGAAAGCAGCCCAGCCTGGGTTTTGTACCCTGGAGCCACAGGGAACACTCAGCTAAAGCACTGCATGATGTTCTCCTCCAGGAAGAACAGGAAGACAGCCCAGGCTGTTCTGAGACGTTCCTCCTGATCTCAGGATGTTGCTGTCTTAGCCTATTTTTGTTGCTATAAAAGAACACTTGAGCCTGGGTATCTTCTAAAGAAAAGAGATGTGTTTGGCTCACTGATCGGCACGCTGTACTAGAAGCAGGACACTACCATCTATTTCTGGCTGCGGCCTCAGGCTGCTCCCACACTGACAGAAGAGAAGGGGGTCCTGCGTGTGCAGAGACCACAGAGATCACATGGCAAGAGAGGGAGAAAGGGGGTGTGATGGAGCTTCCAAGCTCTTTTTAAGAATCAACTCTCCAGGGTACTAATAGAGGGAGAACTTGCTAAACCCGTCCTCTGGGGACAGCATTAATCTATTCATGATGGATCCACCCCCATGACCAAAACACCCCTCCCAATAGGCACAACCTCCCACACTGGGGATTAAATTTCAAAGTGGGGTTTGGAGGGGTCAAACATTGAAACAATAGCAGTTGTATCATCAGCACATTCTATTGTTATTATGAAAACTATAACGGAGAAAGCAGGAGAAAGCTGGGTCTCCCGCCTCGTGGGTGCTTGTCCTAAAGAGGTGTTTTATGTGGTTGCCTGGCAACCAAGAAATGAGAGACAATCCACAAAGAGGAACTGCTATGGTTAGCTTCTTATTGGATTCTCATCTTCCTCCAGGTATCGCCAGACACCTGCATGCTGTGATTAGGTACTCAGTGGCCATCATCCTCTTCACCATCCTTCCCTTCTTTCTCCTTCATCGCTGGTGCTCCAAAAAAAAAAGTAAGCCTCACGAAGCAGAGGCCAGAGAACTCAGGGCCCTGTGCGGAAGCAGGATGGGAGCACGCAGGTGTGTGTTCCTCACTGGCAGGAAAGTCTCTGGCCCAAGGCAGGAGCCAGAGGCAGAGCTTTCTAGAGAGAGCACCAGACACCCTGCCCCTGCCTTCAGCTCACAGACCATTGCCTGATTGTGAACTGTATCCTCACGTCCCCTGCAGCCACTCACATCCAGGAGAAGATTCCATGACAGGCAGAAAGTGGGAGATAGAATCAATGGGATGGGAACTGACAGCTATTCATGGAATGGGGTCTTGCACTCAGAGAGATGGAATGTCTGAGTCTGGCTGTTGGCAGCTGAGGGACCTCAGGCACCTATGGCCTCCCCCTGTGTGTTGGTATCTGTTCATGAAATGAGGACCCAGAAGTGCCCTCCCAGCTGTTTTGATTGCTTCCGTCTCCTACAGATGCTGCTGTAATGAACCAAGAGCCTGCGGGACACAGAACAGTGAACAGGGAGGTAGGTCCTCCTAGCCCAGCCTCATGGATACAGTCTTATTCCCTAATAGTCCTGAAAAATGTGAACACCCTCCCTCACTCAGGATTTCCCTCTCTCCAGGACTCTGATGAACAAGACCCTCAGGAGGTGACATACGCACAGTTGGATCACTGCATTTTCACACAGAGAAAAATCACTGGCCCTTCTCAGAGGAGCAAGAGACCCTCAACAGATACCAGCGTGTGTATAGAACTTCCAAATGCTGAGCCCAGAGCGTTGTCTCCTGCCCATGAGCACCACAGTCAGGCCTTGATGGGATCTTCTAGGGAGACAACAGCCCTGTCTCAAACCCAGCTTGCCAGCTCTAATGTACCAGCAGCTGGAATCTGAAGGCGTGAGTCTCCATCTTAGAGCATCACTCTTCCTCACACCACAAATCTGGTGCCTGTCTCTTGCTTACCAATGTCTAAGGTCCCCACTGCCTGCTGCAGAGAAAACACACTCCTTTGCTTAGCCCACAATTCTCTATTTCACTTGACCCCTGCCCACCTCTCCAACCTAACTGGCTTACTTCCTAGTCTACTTGAGGCTGCAATCACACTGAGGAACTCACAATTCCAAACATACAAGAGGCTCTCTCTTAAGACGGCACTTAGACACGTGCTGTTCCACCTTCCCTCGTGCTGTTCCACCTTTCCTCAGACTATTTTTCAGCCTTCTGGCATCAGCAAACCTTATAAAATTTTTTTGATTTCAGTGTAGTTCTCTCCTCTTCAAATAAACATGTCTGCCTTCATTCTTTAGGTGACTCTTTTTTTGGCTGAAAGTTTCCAGTGTTATCATTACCATGTCCAAATAACTCCAACTGTTCTCCACTGGGTTCTCACCCCTGGACTCTGAGCTTCTGGAAGCAGGGTGGAGCCTGATTTGTCTCTGAGACTCCAATTTCCATCCAAAGATGCAGCACATAAGAGGTTCCAAGGATCGTGAATCACATGAACAAGTGATATTCTTACTCTCTGCAGACCTGGAAAGCTGGCAGAGTCATTCCATGATGAAACATTTGTAGAGTCATAGGCCTTGTCAGTCTCATCTCCACGGGGACACATATCAACACATCATCTTTCATACTATAAATATACAGTCGGTCCTCTGTATCTGTGGGATTTACAGGTGTTTATTGAACCAAATATAAATCAAAAATATTCAGAGAAAAAATCCACAAAGTTTCAAAAAGCAAAACTATGTTGAATGGACACAAATGAAGCTGTGTGTAGGCTGTATCAGGAATTATAAATAATCAAGGGATGATTTCATGTACACAGGAGGATGTGCATGGGTTATTTGCAAATGCTGTGCCATTTCATGTAAGAGGCTTGAGCATCTGCAGATTGTGCTATCTGAGTGGAGATCCTGAAACCAATCACCCACGAATAGTGAGGGATGACTGTATATAATTTTTATTTCTCAATTTTAAATATAAAACATAAAAAAATTACAATAACAAGATAAAATAAACAAGTGTTTTATAGTGTGAGAATACTTTTAGATATATTTTTCTCCATGTGTAACCCTTGGGCCCATGTTATTTATTGAGAAGACATTCTATTCCACCTTAAACCACATGGCAGCCTTTGTCAACTATAAAGGGACTGTGTGTACACGGATGTATTTTAGACACTGTTTTCTGCTCAGTGGCTCTCTCTCTGTCCACTCTCTTGAGAATGCTGCATTTTATGCAGCCTTATACAACCCCTAAAATTTGGTAGCTGGAGTCCTCTAGTTATTTATTATAGGCTATTTGCTATGCTTTTTTTATTTTTCTTGAGGCAGAGTCTCGCTCTGTTGCCCAGGCTGGAGTGCAGTGGCACGATCTCGGCTCACTGCAACTTCCGCCTCCCAGGTTCAAGGGATTCCGTGCCTCAGCCTCTTGAATAGCTGGCATTACAAGTGCCTGCTACCAGGCATGGCTAATTTTTGTATTTTTAGCAGAGACATGGTTTCACTATATTGGCCAGGCTGGTCTCAAACTCCTGACCTCGGTTGATCACTCACTTCGGCTTCCAAAGTGCTGGGGAAATTGATTTTCTATAGCATTATGTTACTGGATATTTCTGTAAAATTTAAAATGAGGGAGGCAGAGAGACAGAGAGAGAGCAAACCATGAGTTGGAACTCTGAAATCTTGGGACATGAGACAAATTCTAGATAAATCTACAAAAATCCAGAATTTACATGTTGTGATTTTTGCTGATAAAGTACAATTCTAAGATTGTAAATAATTGCATAATCCTTCCCTGGGAGTTTAAATCATTTGAACTGGTTCTGCTGTAATACTAGAAATACAATCATGAAAAATTCTAATGGTTTATTAGTCACAATTGCTCTGAAAACCTTAATAATACCTATTAGATATTTTGCATATTACACAGGAAGAAGAGTTTGAATCTCAGATAAAAGCAATAAAAATACATGAAAAGTCTTTCATGTTAGCACAGATTTTAGGCATCTCGTGTTCGGGAGGTTGGATCTAAGACGTGTTTTGAGTTGGTCATAGTGAAGGACGCGAGGTGTCAATTCTAGTGAGAGCAATTTCCAGGAAGCCATGTTCCGCTCTTGAGCGAGCACCCACTGGGCCTCATGCAAGGTAGAAAGAGCCTGCGTACGTCACCCTCCCATGATGTGGTCAACATGTAAACTGCATGGGCAGGGCGCCAAATAACATCCTGTGCGCTGCTGAGCTGAGCTGGGGCGCGGCCGCCTGTCTGCACCGGCAGCACCATGTTGCTCATGGTCGTCAGCATGGCGTGTGTTGGTGAGTCCTGGAAGGGAATCGAGGGAGGGAGTGCGGGGATGGAGATCTGGACCTGGAGGTAAAGATATGGGCCTAGAGGTGGAGTTATGGGCCTGGAGGTGGAGTTATGGGCCTGAAGTGGAGATCTGGGCCTGGAGTGGAGATCTGGGCCTGGAGTGGAGATAGGGGCCTGGGGTGGAGATATGTGCCTGGAGTGGAGATCTGGGCCTGGAGTGGAGATATGGGCCTGGGGTGGAGATATGTGCCTGGGGTGGAGATATGGGCCTGGAGGGGAGATATGGATGGGCCTGGAGGGGAGATGTGGGCCTAGAGGTGGAGTGATGGGCCTAGAAGTGGAGCGATGGGCCTGGAGTGGAGATATGGGCCTGGAGGTGGAGTTATGGGCCTGCAGTAGAGATATGGGCCTGAAGTGGAGATATGGGCCTGGAGTGGAGATATGGGCCTAGAGGTGGAGTTATGGGCCCGGAGGTGGAGTTAAGGGCATGAAGTGGAGATCTGGGCCTGGAGTGGAGATATGATCCTGGAGTGGAGATATGGGCCTGGGGTGGAGATACGGGCCTGGAGCAGACATACAAGCCTGGAAAGGAGATATGGGCCTGGAGAGGAGATAGAAGCCTGGAGTGGAAATATGGGCCTGGAGTGGAGATATGAGCCTGGAGTGGATATATGAGCCTGGAGTTGAGATAGGAGCCTGGAGTGGAGATATGGGCCTGGAGTGGACTTATCAGCCTGGAGAGGAGATATGGGTCTGGAGTGGAGATACGGACCTGGAGTGGAGATCTGGGCCTGTTGTGTAGATCTAGGCCTGGAGGTAGAGATCTGGGCCTGGAGGCTGAGTCTCTGCACAGCCGAGATCCTTGTTCCTGGGGGCAGGTAGGCAGCGAGGGTGAGTTTACCTTCAGCCCAGCAAGGGCCTGGCTGCCAAGACGCACAGCCCAGTGGGGGCAGCAGGGTGCCCTGGTTTGCCTGCAGATGGATGGTCCATCATGATCTTTCTTTCTAGGGTTCTTCTTGGTCCAGAGGGCCGGTCCACACGTGGGTGAGTCCTTCCCCAAACCTTAGGGTGTCATCTCCCCACATAAGAGGATTTTCCTGAAATGGGAGGGAAGTCCTGTCGGGGAGTCTCTCATAAACTAGGAAGAGGGGACCCTCGGATGCTCGGCCCACATTTCTGACCTTGCCCTCCCCGGCCTTTCTTTCCCTTTCCTGAGTCAAGCTCTGTGAAGACTGGGGTGAGACTAGGGTGCTCCAAGACGGGTGTGCAGGGAGGAAGTGGTGTCAGCAGCAGAGAAAGAGAGGGAAGCAGTGCTAGGAACAGCAGGTCCTCTGAGGACAAAGGTGTAACTCACACCCTCCAGCGTTTCCGTGATGGTAGGGGCTGCAGTGTGGCTGTGGTCTTTCTACCAGAAAAGGTGAGGAAACCACAGCCATGGCCCTGACATTCCAAATCCTCTGATGGGGGCTCAGTTCATCAATTGGCTGATATTCCATTCACATAGGACTTGCCCTCCATGCCGTGTCTACTTTGTGTTGTTTTATATGAGTAATTTTGCAGTATTAAAATCTAGTAAGAGTTGCTTCTCCAGCACTTGCTCAAAGTTCTCAGCTGACACTTGTTGTAGGGAGACGCCATGTCTATGCAGGATGGGTCCTTCCTGTAGCCCTGGGCACCCAGGTGTGGTAGGAGCCTTAGAAAGTGGAAATGGGGAGAATCTTCTGGGCACTGGGAGTGAGGGGCGGCTCCACATCCTCCTCTCTAAGGCAGTGCCTCCTTCTCCCCCAGGTGGTCAGGACAAGCCCTTCCTGTCTGCCTGGCCCAGCGCTGTGGTGCCTCGAGGAGGACACGTGACTCTTCGGTGTCACTATCGTCATAGGTTTAACAATTTCATGCTATACAAAGAAGACAGAATCCACGTTCCCATCTTCCATGGCAGATTATTCCAGGAGAGCTTCAACATGAGCCCTGTGACCACAGCACATGCAGGGAACTACACATGTCGGGGTTCACACCCACACTCCCCCACTGGGTGGTCGGCACCCAGCAACCCCGTGGTGATCATGGTCACAGGTCAGAGGCTTTCCGTCTGGGCTTCTCACTGTCCCACCTCCTGAATCCCAGAGCTTCTGGTGGGGGTGTCCGTCAGGGTCCCATCACCCAGGCCCTGACTGTATTTGGGGTCAAGGGAGATTGAATACAGGGGAAATGGGTGCTGTGGTGGGAAGAATCACTGTCCCCAATGATGGCTACATTGTAATCCCTGGAGCCTGTGACTATTTATGTTACAGGGCAGGGGACTGAAGGGGAAGGTGGAGCTCAGGTTGTTGATGAGTTGACCTTGAGATGGGGAGACAGCCTGGACTGTCCCACTGGGCTCAGTGTAATCACAAGGGTCCACATGAGAGGTGGAGGAAGAGGGGAGTGGGGATTAGAGCAGTGTAGTGGGAGGGAGACGCTATCAGCCACTGCGGGCTTTGAAGGTGGAGGAAGACCACTAGTCACAGAATGCAGGTGGCCTCTAAGGGCTGGAGAAGTCAAGAGAACTGATTCGCTGATTCTCCAGAGGGAACGCAGCCCTGTAGACACCTTGATTTCAGCACAGGGAGAACTGGATCCAATTTCTGTCTCCAGAAGTGGAAGGGGTCAGTGTGTTCTCTCCCGCTGCCATGTTTGTGGTAATTTTCTGCAGCAGCAACAGGAAACCAACACAGGAACCCAGGTCAAGGACAAGTTAGGAAACCAAACAAGGATAGCCAGATGTGGTGGTGGGCGCGAGTAATCCAACGACTGGGGAGGCTGAGGCAAGAGAATCACTTGAACTGGGGATTTGTTCAAAAGAGATTGATTCAGGCTGCTAAGAGCCTGGACATGCAGCCTGTCCTCTTCCACCCCCACATAGACAGCAGGAAAGAGATTAGTGGGAAACAGATACAACAGCCCAAGAGATGAGGCTGTCTTCACAGTGGCAAGGGAGTCAGGGGCTACTGGAGACAGAGGGACAGAGAAGAGGGAGGAAGACAGATGGAGGCACCTGCACCAGGGGATATGGGCACAGAAAAGACACGGAGATGCAGAGAGGGAGGAGAGAGACAGACACGGGGAGGGGAACCCTCACTCATTCCAGGTGCCATGGATGGGATGATAAAGAGAGATGCCTTCTAAACTCACAACTTCTCTTTCTAGGAAACCACAGAAAACCTTCCCTCCTGGCCCACCCAGGTCCCCTGGTGAAATCAGGAGAGAGAGTCATCCTGCAATGTTGGTCAGATATCATGTTTGAGCACTTCTTTCTGCACAAAGAGGGGATCTCTAAGGACCCCTCAAGCCTCGTTGGACAGATCCATGATGGGGTCTCCAAGGCCAATTTCTCCATCGGTCCCATGATGCTTGCCCTTGCAGGGACCTACAGATGCTACGGTTCTGTTACTCACACCCCCTATCAGTTGTCAGCTCCCAGTGATCCCCTGGACATCGTGGTCACAGGTGAGAGTGTCTAGACATTGTTCTCATTGTCACTGGGACACAGAGTGAATGATCCAGGACTTGGAACCCCCAGGTGGTCATGAGGAAGATAAGTGTGGGATTCTTATGGAAAGAGAGTGACTTGGTGAGGTCTGTACCAACAGAGACAGAGAAACAGGAGACATAAGTACAGAACAGGTGTCATAACAGAGGACAGACACAGGGGCCATACAGGGAGGTAGAAAAGAGAGAAAGAGGTAAAGGAGACACTCAGACAGACAGACATGTCCCAGAGAGAGGTGTCCTTCCATGCTGACTTTGCTCAGAGACCTGGCACAGGTTAGAAGTTTCATTTCTGTTTTACCTCCACAAAGTGTTCCTACCAGAAGAACCCAAGGACACCCATATTTCTGACCTGAGTTGGGCCCTGTGGCCTCAGGCCTTGTGCCACCTACAGATGCCGTGTTTATTCTGACACCTCTGCCTTCCATGCAATGGAGAGTAATCATCCCAGGATATCATGGCCCCTGAACACCAACCCCTGTATGCTGTGTGAACTTGGGGTCCCCAGACTGGATTCTGAGGCTCATATTCCAAATAATCCCACATATGATAGGATCGCTGAGAGACACAGAGAAAAATCAGGGACACCAAAAAACAAAGACATAAACACACACAAAATGAGCCAGAAGAAGGAGATTAAGAGATTCACAGACACATAAAAAGAAAGAAAAGAGGGCAGAATGGAGAGAATGATGGAAAGGAGGAGAGAAAAGCCCCAAAATCAGAACCCTGAGGGAGGGACACAAAGACAGAGAAAGATAAATATGTGGGGATGGATTGCAGAGATTCCAAATAGAACTAGAGAGACTGAGAGGCAGAGAAAGACAAGGAGACGGAGAGAGAGAGATGATAGATGGATAGATAGACGTAGATAGATGATAAATAGGTAGATGATAGATAATGGATTGGTTATAGATACATAGATGATGACTGATAGATGATACATAGAGATGACGATGATGATGATAGACACATAGATATATACATAGATGATACATAAATAGAGACAGAGAGGCAGACAGAGAGGTAATAGAGAGAGAGATAGATGATACATATATAGATAATAGATGATTGATGGATAGATAGACAGATAGACAATTGATAGAGAGATAGATAAGTGATACATAAATATAGATGATAGATAATTTGTAGATAGACACAAAATAGATAAATAGATAGAAATGTGCAGAAAGTTATGACCAAGACAGAAAGTGAGAGACTCAAAATTAAAGAAAAAGGAAGATCAAGTCAACCAATCCAAGGAGGGTCAGAGAGAATAAAACAATCCAAAAAGGGAAAACATACCTCAGGGTGGGGAAGTGAGGTCATAGACCTAGAGAGACAGAAAAGGTAGAAGGAGGAAACAGATATGAAGAGAGATGGGGTGGAGGGTGAGAGAGAGAGAGAGAGCATTAGGTCATAGAGCAGGGGAGTGAGTTCTCAGCTCAGGTATGAGGGGAGCTATGACAAGGAAGAACCTCCCTGAGGAAACTGCCTCTTCTCCTTCCAGGTCCATATGAGAAACCTTCTCTCTCAGCCCAGCCGGGCCCCAAGGTTCAGGCAGGAGAGAGCGTGACCTTGTCCTGTAGCTCCCGGAGCTCCTATGACATGTACCATCTATCCAGGGAGGGGGGAGCCCATGAACGTAGGCTCCCTGCAGTGCGCAAGGTCAACAGAACATTCCAGGCAGATTTCCCTCTGGGCCCTGCCACCCACGGAGGGACCTACAGATGCTTCGGCTCTTTCCGTCACTCTCCCTACGAGTGGTCAGACCCGAGTGACCCACTGCTTGTTTCTGTCACAGGTGAGAAAAGCCCATATCTCTCTCATGTCCTATGATCCTAAATCCTTAGCTAAGGAGCTTCCTGCTGATGATGGAGAAAAGCATGGACAGATGCAGAGAGAAGACACAGCAGGTGTGAGGGCGGAGTCAGGGCGCAGGATGGCAGACAGGGCACCTCCAAACCCTCCTTCATGGCCTGCATGGAGGCCTCCGATCAGGGCTCCAGGCACCCAGGCAGATGGAGAAAGCGGTCAGGACAGACCCAGAGAAGGGGAGACTGGGCTTAGTTTGGGGAGATCAGAGGTTCCCTCAGCCCCTCAATCTTATCCATTTCCCAGAAGCCCATCATGGCCTCTCACCCACACAGAGAGATATCATCACCAGCAACCCCTACACCCTTTTCTTTTCATTTTCAAAAATATTTATTGAGGTTAAATGTAACTATATAATTTACCACCTTTACCATTTTTAAAAGTAAAATCTAGTGGTCATAAATACCTTTATATGCTGGGTGTGGTGGTTCACGGTTGTAATCTCGGCGCTTTGAGAGGCCAAGGAAGGTGGATCATTTAAGATCAGGAACTCGAGATCACCCTGGCCAACATGTGGGAAATTCATCTTTACTAAACAGACAAGAAAAATTAGCCGAGCATGCTGGCATGCACCTGTAGTCCTAGCTACTTGGGAGGCTGAGGCAGGAGAAGCACTTAAACCCAGGAGGCAGAGGTTGCACTGAGCCGAGATCATGCCACTGCACTGCAGCCTGGGAGACAGAGAGAGACTCTGTTTCTAAATAAATAAATACATCTATATTCTTTTTTTTGTTACCCTCCACCCTTCCCTTCCTGGCCTCTGGTGTCCACCATTGTATTCTCCACCTTCATGAGATCCACCTTTTATCTCCTGCATGTGGGTGAGAAATGGGAATCTTTGTAATGACCTCCAGTTCCATCCATGTGGCTGCAAATGACAGGATGTTATTGTTTCTATGGATGAGTAGTCTCCACTGTGTGTGTGTACCACAGTTCTCTATCCATTCACCCACTGATGGGCAGGTAGGTTGACTCCACATCTTGGCTACTGTGAACAGTGCTGGAACAGTCATATGAGTGCAGATATCACTTCAATACACTGATGTCCTTTCCTTTGGATATAAACCCAGTAGTGAAATTGCTGGACACTATGAAAGTTCTCTTTTTTTTTTTTTCTTTTTTGAGAAAGAGTTTCCCTCCTTAGTCCAAGCTGGAGTCTAAGTGGTGAGATCTTGGCTCATTGCAACCTGTGCCTCCTAGGTTCAAATGATTGTCCTGACTCAGCCTCCCTAGTAGCTGTGATTACAGGTGCACGCCACCATGCCTGGCTAATTTTTGTATTTTTTTAGCACAGACGGGATATCCCAATTTTGGGCAGGCTGCTCTCAAACTCCTGACCTCAAGTGAGGTGCCTGCCTCGGTTTCCCAAAGTGCTGAAGTTACAGGCATAAGCCACTATGCCCAGCCTCCTTTTAGTTTTTTAAAGAATTTCCATACTTTTCTCCATAATAGTTGTACTAATTTACATTCCTACCAACAGGGTACCAGGGTTCTCCTTTCTCTACCATCTTGCCAGCATTTGTTTTGCCTGTCTTGCAGTAAAAGCCATTTTACTTTACTTTATTTTATTTATTTATTTATGTTGAGATGGAGTTTCACTCATAGTCTCCCAGGCTGGAGTGCAAGGGTGTGATCTCAGCTCACTGCAACCTCCGCCTCCCGCGTTCAACTGATTCTCCTGCCTCAGCCTCCAAAGTAGCTGGGATTACAGGCATGTGCCACCACGCCTAGCTAATTTTTGTATGTTTAGTAGAGAGGGAGTTTCTCCATGATGGTCAGGCTGGTCTCCCGACCTCAGGTGATCCGCCCACCTCCGCCTCCTGAAGTGCCGGAATTACAGGCGTGAGCCACCGGCCTAAAAGGCATTTTAATGGGATGAGATGAAAACTCATCGCGATTGTAATTTACATTTCTCTGATGATGAGTGATGCCGAGTACTTTTTCATATACGTGATCGCCATTTCTATGTTTTGTTTGTGGAGAAATGTCTCCTCATGTCTTTTGCTCGTTTTTTAATTAAATTGTTTTATTGAGTTGTTTGAGCTTCTTATATTTCCAGTTATTAATCCCGTCTCAGATGAATAGTTTGCAAATATTTGCTCCTATTTTGTCGGTTGTCTCTTCACTTTCTTGGTTTATCTTTTGTGGTGCAGAAGTTGCTTGGTTTGATGTAATCCTAATGGTCTATTTTTTGCTTTGATTACTTGTGTTTTGAAGGTTTTAAACAAAATGTCTTTCGTCAGACAAATGTCTTCCCCATTATTTTCTTCTACATGTTTCATAGGTTCAGGCCTTAGACTCATGTTTTTAATCCATTTTCATTTGATTTTTGTGTATGGTGACAGGTATAGATGCAGTTTTATTCCTCTGCATGTAGATATCCAGTTTTCCCCACACCATTTATTGAAAAGACTGTCCTTTCCTGATTGTAAGTTCTCGGCACCTTTGTCAAAGTCCATTAAATGGGCTGGGTATGGTGGCTCACACCTGCAATTCCAGCACTTTGGGAGGCCGAGGCGGGTGGATCACCTGAAGCCAGGAGTTCAAGATCAGGCTGGCCAACAGAGTGAAACCTCGTCTCTACTAAAAATACAAAAATTAGCTGAGCATGGTGACCAGTGCCTGTAATACCACTACTCGGGTGTTTGAGGCAAGAGAATTGCTTGAATCCAGGAAGTGGAGGTTGCATTGAGCTGAGATTGCACCTCTGCACTCCAGCCTGCATGACAGAGCAAGATTCTAACACACACACACACAAAAAAAGCCATTGGATGTAAATGCATGGATTATATCTGTGTTCTCCATTCTGTTTCATTTTTTATGTGCCTTTCTTTATGCCAATGTCATGCTGTTTTGCTTACTACAGCTCTGTAACATATTTCTAAGTCAGGTAGTGTGATGCTCCTGTTTTCTCTTTATACCTTCAAGTCTCAAGACAGTGGGCATCGCACACAAAAATTATGGAGAAGAGGATCCCAAGACTCCCAGGGTCCAACATTAGATAACAGAGTGTTGGCCATGAACCAACCTCAAAGATTTCCATTGAGTAGAGGACAAGCACCCTCATTTCCTCACATCTCTCCTGTCCCATGTTCTAGGAAACCCTTCAAGTAGTTGGCCTTCACCCACAGAACCAAGCTCCAAATCTGGTGAGTAAAGGACCCCTCTTATCTCTGCTTTTGGAAACCTGGGGAGGTGGAAGCCTTGGATGCAAGTGTTGGCTCAAACCTCCCAGCTCTGTGAATGAGGGCCTGTCTTCCACCATCTCTGAACTCCAGACACTCCAACAGTGAAAGGGATCTAGGGCCACCAAAGGGCTCAGCGAAGTCTCTTAACCTTTAATGTCCTGCAGGTGAGACCTCCTACAAGCTAGAAGAATGATTGCCAATCTGACATCCTTCTCAGGAAACATGCAGTGTTTTTTCTTCCTGCATTCCTAACTGGAGGATAAATTCCTGGGGACTTGAGAGAGGGAAGGGAAGGGAACATCTGATGAGGGCGAGGTGTTTTAGAGAAGTTCCACTTGCCAAGGAATGAATTACTGTTGGTCATGAAGCAACCCTGGCTGACTCAGCAGAGCAAGAGCCTTGCCGTAACAGAGAACAGAGCTCATGCACGCACACTTCGACTCACTGACTCATTCAGCCACGGCCCCATGCTCAGGCTGTGCAGTTGGAATCCTTTCCTATTGTTGCCATAACAAATTTCCACAAGATTCGTGGGTGAAAACAAAACGGTTTTTTAATTATCTTACAGTGCTGTAGCTCAAAGTAGGAAGTGCATCTTACTGGGCTAAAATCAAGGTGACAGCAAGGCTGCCTTCCCTCTGAGGATTCCAGGCAAGAATCTGCTTCTCACTTGTCCCAGCTTCTAAAGGCTCCCAGTTCCTTGGCTCCTGGTCCCCTTCCTCCTTCCTCAAAGCCCACAAAGACTGGTCACATCTCACATGGCATCACTCAGACCCTTCTTCCTTACCACACCTCTTTCTCTGAATGCTGCTCTCCCTTCTTCCTTATCTTTTGAAAACTTGGGGATTCTATTGGGTTCACCAAGATGAAAATCCATCATAATCTCCCGGAAATCATTCAGGATACCCTTGTTTTAAGTTCAGCTGACTAGCAACCGTAATTCCATCTGCAATCTTCATTCCTTCTTTCCATGTAAAATAAGATATTCACAAGCTATGGAGGCTAGGACAGGGACATTTTGGGGTGGGACAGCATTCTCCTGCCTTCCACGAACGGTGAACAAGATGCATTTGGCCTCTGCTCTTGGGACACTGATATTGCAGATGGTTAAATGGGAGGACAGAAAATGAATGCACAAGTGGACCAATAAATGAATGATCCATTGGGAAGCATCTGTGCATGAAATCTATTTGTTTGTTCGTTCATTTATTTATTGAGACAGAGTCTCCCTCTGTCTTCCAGGCTACAGTGCAGTGTCACGATCTTGGCTCACTGCAACCTGCGTCTCCTGGATCCAAGTGATTCTCCTGCCTCACCCTCTCGAGTAGCTGGGATTACAGGCAACTGCCACCATGCCCGGCTAATTCTTTTTGTATATTTTTTGTAGAGAGGATGTTTCACCATGTTGGCCAAGCTTGTCTGAAACTCCCAACCTCAAGTGATCCGACCATCTCAGCAACCCAAAGTACTGGGATTACAGGCGTGAGCCACTTTGCCCAGCCAGAATTCAAAATAAATAATAGATAATGCTGAGTGTATAATTTTGGGTGACAGAGAAGGTCTCACTAATCAGATATTTGTGACATTAATGAAAAACACGGATTGAACCCCTGAAAGATTGGCGGAAGGATTTTCCACACACAGCTGTCAGCCGTGAAGGCAGAAAGCTGAAAACAATCTGATGTGGAAGGAAGAGGCTCTGCCTGAAATGCTGGGAATGAGGTGGGGAGAATGACAAGACGACTGTGGAGAGACGGAGAGCACACTGGGTACACAGGAAACTAAGGAGCAACAAGGAGTGTGTGTTTGACACTCACAGCCATTGGATTCACCTCGGGGTAGCCAGGAATCCCTACATGATTAATAGTGACTGACATGAAAATAAGGGAGGCCCAGGTGCGTAACTGGAATCTAGGAGACAGTGGAAAAGGCAATTGCCGCCCCACTGGTGAAATGTGGTGCTGATTTAGACCCTAAGTGGATGAAGCAGATGGATATAAGCTATGTTTGGGAGGTAGAATCATTTGCAGGGAGGGCTTGCTGGGTTTGAGTTTCCTAGTTGTTTAATCCTTGCTAAATTAATTTCTTTCTGAGATTTATTCCTCCTACACATAAATCAATACCTGCCAAAGGAGTGACAGATATATGAGGGGTGGTGGAAATGAAGGGACCTATTATAGCATAGTATACAAGTCTGTGAACGGTGGCTCACTCCTGTAACCCAGCACTGCAGGAGGCTAAGGCCAGTGGATTCCAAGAAGTCAGGAGTTCGAGACCAGCCTGGCCAACATGGAGAAACCCTATCTCTACATGGTGAAACCCTATCTCTCCTAAAAATACAAAAATTAGCCGAGCATGGTGGTGCATCCCTGTAATCCCAGCTCCTGCTCTGGAGGATGAAGCAGGAGAATGACTTCAACCCAGGAGGTGGAGGTTGCAGTGAGTGGAGATCGCATCACTGCACTCCAGCCTGGGTGACACAAGGAGACTCCATCTCAAAAAATAAAAATAAGAAATGCATAAATATAATAAAACACACACGAATGACAAAGGCACCTGAATTCCCATCATCATTTTTCTATTTCTCTATAATTACTTCTTTGATCCTTTATCTTATCCATTAGGCAATCAGCCTAAAACCTCTTCCGTATTTGGCTTTCTGTGAGCATGAGATCATATAGAAAATGTGAAAGCCCGCTGAATCCTCCAGCACAAATCCTGGAATAGAGAAAGTGCTCTGGTCATCACAAAAAAAACTTGCCCCCTCACCCAAATCCCCCATCTCACCCCTACTTCCAATCACCTGTGGAGATACAGATAGATCATGGGGAGGTAAATGCTAATACTCCTTGGAGTGAGTCCAGATCTTGGAATCAGAGATCAGTGCCAGCACTAGCTCCTGCTCCCCTTTCCTACTAATTCACAGGAGGACAGGTGGTATTGAAGCAATAGATAGTCGAGGGGGTGGTCCTTCCCCCAGCCTCTGAGGTAGAACAGCAGCCTAACATGTGTCTCCCGAGATCACAAAGAGTAGCACATTTCACACGGGCTTCAACACTATTTTCTGGCTGTTTGACATAAGAGAATTCTACTTCGCTTTTTTTATATTGATTTCACTTTTGTTTCCTTTTCTTGGAGAATGCAAGTTGTTTAACTCAAGAATGCCGTGGATGTAGAAATCCTAAAGCACATTCGCTGTGTATCAATCCCAGTCCAGTCTTCCCAGAGAAGACTCTAAACACCTCCTGGACTGCACCTGGGCCTATGCCAATTCCTATCACTCACCGTCACTCCAGGGAGACAGAACACACAGAGAATACGTTACATAGGCAGGTTCATTACTAACAGATAAGCAGCGAGTGACAACAGAAGCCTACATTTCAATGTGAGCCAGTTCCCCAAGGCTCAGAAAAGCTGCTCGAGACATGTGGAGTCACCCCATTTGCAGTGTAGCTGGGGGAAGCCAGAAAGCAGCCCAGCCTGGGTTTTGTACCCTGGAGCCACAGGAAGCACTCAGCTAAAGCACTGCATGACGTCCTCCTCCAGGAAGAACAGGAAGACAGCCCAGGCTGTTCTGGGACGATCCTCCTGATCTCAGGACTTTGCTGTCTTAGTCCATTTTTGTTGCTCTAAAGGAACACTTGAGCCTGGGTAACTTCTAAAGAAGAGATTGGTTTGCCTCACCATTCTGCAGGCTGTACTGGAAGCATGGCACCAGCATCTATTTCTTATGATGGCCTCAGGCCGCTCCCACTCTGGCAGAAGGGAAGGAGGGTCTGTCTGTGCAGAGACCACAGAGATCACACGGCAAGAGAGGGAGCAAGGGGGAGGGGGAGCAATGGAGCTTCCAAGCTCTTTTTAACAACCAGCTCTCCAGGAACTAATAGAGAGGGAACTTGCTAACCCCGTCTCCTTGGGACAGCATTGATCTGTTCATGATGGATCCACCTCCATGACCCAAACACCTCCCAAGAGGCCCAACCTCCCACACTGGGGGTTAAATTTCAATGTGAGGTTTGAAGGGGTCAAACATCTCAACTAAAGTAGTTGTATCCTCAGCACGTTCCATGGTTACTATGAGAGCTATAACTGAGAAAGCAGGAGGAAGCTAGATCTCCCGCCATCTGGGTGCTTGTCCGAAAGAGATGCTGTAAGTGGTTACCTGTCAATCAAGAAATGCAAGACAATTCATATAGAGAAACTGCTATGATTAGCTTCTTACTGGTGTCTCCTCTTCTTCCAGGTAACCCCAGACACCTGCACATTCTGATTGGGACCTCAGTGGTCATCATCCTCTTCATCCTCCTCCTCTTCTTTCTCCTTCATCTCTGGTGCTCCAACAAAAAAAGTAAGTCTCACGGGGCACAGGCCAGAGAGCTCAGGGCCATGTGGGGAAGCAGGATGGGAGCACACAGCTGTGTGTTCCTCACTGGCAGGATGGTCCCTGGCCCAAGACAGGAGCCACAGAGGCAGGACTTTCTAGAGAGAGCACCAGACTCCCTGCCCCTGCCTTCAGCTCACAGACCGTTGCCTGATTCTGAACTGTATCCTCATGTCCCCTGCAGCCACTCACATCCAGGAGAAGGTTCCATGAGAGGCAGAAAGTGGGAGACAGAATCAATGGGATGGGAACTCAGAGCTATTCATGGGATGGGTCCTTGAGCTCAGAGAGATAGAATGTCTGAGTCTGCTGTTGGCAACTGAGGGACCTCAGGCACCTATGGCCTCCCCCTGTTTGTTGGTATCTGCTTATGAAATGAGGACCCAGAAGTGCCCTCCGAGCTCTTTTGTTGACTTCCGTCTCCTACAGATGCTGCTGTAATGGACCAAGAGCCTGCAGGGAACAGAACAGCCAACAGCGAGGTAGGTGCTCCTCGGCCCAGCCTCGTGGCTAGTGTTATTCCCAAACAGTCCTGGAAAACGTGAGCACCCTCCCTCACTCAGCATTTCCCTCCCTCACTCAGCATTTCCCTCTCTCCAGGACTCTGATGAACAAGACCCTCAGGAGGTGACATACGCACAGTTGGATCACTGCGTTTTCACACAGAGAAAAATCACTCGCCCTTCTCAGAGGCCCAAGACACCCCCTACAGATACCATCTTGTACACGGAACTTCCAAATGCTAAGCCCAGATCCAAAGTTGTCTCCTGCCCATGAGCACCACAGTCAGGCCTTGAGGACGTCTTCTAGGGAGACAACAGCCCTGTCTCAAAACCGAGTTGCCAGCTCCCATGTACCAGCAGCTGGAATCTGAAGGCGTGAGTCTTCATCTTAGGGCATCGCTCCTCCTCACGCCACAAATCTGGTGCCTCTCTCTTGCTTACAAATGTCTAGGTCCCCACTGCCTGCTGGAAAGAAAACACACTCCTTTGCTTAGCCCACAGTTCTCCATTTCACTTGACCCCTGCCCACCTCTCCAACCTAACTGGCTTACTTCCTAGTCTACTTGAGGCTGCAATCACACTGAGGAACTCACAATTCCAAACATACAAGAGGCTCCCTCTTGACGTGGCACTTACCCACGTGCTGTTCCACCTTCCCTCATGCTGTTTCACCTTTCTTCGGACTATTTTCCAGCCTTCTGTCAGCAGTGAAACTTATAAAATTTTTTGTGATTTCAATGTAGCTGTCTCCTCTTCAAATAAACATGTCTGCCCTCATTGCTTCAGGTAATGTGACACTGTATTCGCTGAAAGAAACCGCTGTTATCATTACCATGTCCACATAACCCCATCTGTTCTCCGCTGGGTTCTCACCCCTGGATTCTGAGCTTCTGGAAGCAGGGTGGAGCCTCATTTGTCTCTGGGACTCCAATTTCCATCCAAAGATGCAGCACATAGGAGGTTCCAAGGATCGTGAATCACATGAACAAGTGATATTCTTACTCTCTGCAACCTGGAAAGCTGGCAGAGTCATTCCACGATGAAACATTTGTAGAGTCATAAGCCTTGCTAGTCTCATCTCCACGGGGACACATATCAACACATCATATTTCATACTATAAATATACAGTCGCTCCTCCATATCTGTGGGGTTTACAGGTGTTTATTGAACCAAGTGTAAATCAAAAATATTCAGAGAAAATGTCCACAAAGTTTCAAAATGCAAAACTATGTTGAATGGACACAAATGAGGCAGTGTGTAGGCTGTATCAGGAATTATAAGTAATCAAGAGATGATTTCATGTATACAGGAGGATGTGCATGGGTTATATCCAAATGCTGTGTCATTTTATGTAAGAGGCTTGAGCATCTGCAGATTTTGGTACCTGAGTGGAGATCCTGAAACCAATCACCCACGAATAGTAAAGGATGACCGTATATGACTTTTATTTCTCAATTTTAAATATAAATCATAAAAAATGTACAATAACTAGATAAAAAGTAAGAAGTGTTTTTATAGTGTGAGAATAAGTTTAGATTTATTTTTTCCTACGTGTAACCCTTTGGTTTAATATTATTTATTAAGAAGACATTCTATGCCACCTTAAACCACACGGCAGCCTTTGTCAACTCTAAAGGGACTGTGTGTACACGGATGTATTTTAGACACTGTTTCTGCTAAGGGGCTCTCTGTGTCCACACTCTTGAGGATGCTGCACTTCATGTAGCCTTATAAAACCCTTTAAATTTAGTAGCCAGAGCCCTCTAATTTGTTATTATAGGCTACTTGCTATTTTTTTTTCTTGAGGCGGAGTCTTGCTCTGTCGCCCAGGCGGGACTGTAGTGGAGCAATCTCAGCTCACTGCAACTTCCGCCTCCCAGGTTCAGGCGATTCTCGTGCCTCAGCCTCTTGAGTAGCTGGCGTTACAGGTGCCTGCCACCAGGCACGGCTAATTTTTGGATTTTTAGCAGAGACACGGTTTCACTATGTTGGCCAGGCTGCTCTCAATCTCCTCATCTCAGTTGATCCGCCCACCTCGGCTTCCCGACCTGCTGGGGGAAACTTGATTTTCTATAGCATTATGTTACTGGATATTTCTGTAAAATTTAAAATGAGGGAGGCAGAGAGACAGAGAGAGAGCAAACTCCAAAGTTGGGACTCTGGAATCTTGAGTCATGAGACAAATTATAGATAAAACTACAAAAATCCAGAATTTACATGTGTGGTTTTTGCTGATAAAGTACAATTCTAAGATTGTAAATAATTGCATAATCCTTCCCTGGGAATTTAAATCATTTGAACTGGTTCTGCTGTAATACTAGAAATACAAGCATGAACAATTCTAATGGTTTATTAGTCACAATGACTCTGAAAACACTAATAATACCTATTAGATATTTTGCATATTACACAGGAAGAAGAGTTCGAATCTCAGATAAAAACAATAAAAATTCATGAAAAGTCTTTCATGTTAGCACAGATTTTAGGCATCTCATGTTTGGGAGGTTGGATCTAAGACATGTTTTGAGTTGGTCATAGTGAAGGACGCGAGGTGTCAATTCTAGTGAGAGCAATTTCCAGGAAGCCATGTTCCGCTCTTGAGCGAGCACCCACTGGGCCTCATGCAAGGTAGAAAAAGCCTGCGTACGTCACCCTCCCATGATGTGGTCAACATGTAAACTGCATGGGCAGGGCGCCAAATAACATCCTGTGCGCTGCTGAGCTGAGCTGGGGCGCGGCCGCCTGTCTGCACCGGCAGCACCATGTCGCTCATGGTCATCATCATGGCGTGTGTTGGTGAGTCCTGGAAGGGAATAGAGGGAGGGAGCGTGGGGATGGAGATCTGGGCCCAGAGGTGGAGATATGGGCCTGGAGGTGGAGTTATGGGCCTGGAGTGGAGATCTGGGCCTAGAGATGGAGTGATGAGCCTAGAAGTGGAGATCTGCGCCTGGAGTGGAGATCTGGGCCTGGAGTGAAGATCTGGGCCTGGAGTGGAGATATGGGCCTGGAGTGGGGATAGGAACCTGGAGTGGAGAGAGGAACCTGGAGGAGAGATAGGAACCTGGAGGGGAGGTAGGAGCCTAGGGTGGAGATATGGGACTGGAGTGGAGATATGGGACTGGAGTGGAGATATGGGCCTGGAGTGGAGTTATGGGCCTGGAGTGAAGTTATGGGCCTGGAGGTGGAGATACGGGCCTGGAGTGGAGATATGAGCCTGGAGTGGAGATATGGTCCTGGAGTGGAGATATGGGCCTGGAGTGGAGATATGGGTCTGCAGTGGAGTTATGGGCCTGGAGTGAAGTTATGGGCCTGGAGGTGGAGATATGGGACTGGAGTGGAGATATGGGACTAGAGTGGAGATAGGGGCCTGGAGGTGGAGATCTGGGCCTGGAGTGGAGATCTGGGCCTGGAGTGGAGATCTGGGCCTGGAGTGGAGATATGGGCCTGGAGTGGAGATATGGGTCTGCAGTGGAGATATGGGCCTGGAGGTGGAGATATGGGCCTGGAGTGGAGTTATGGGCCTGGAGTGAAGTTATGGGCCTGGAGGTGGAGATATGGCCCTGGAGTGGAGATATGGGCCTGGAGTGGAGATCTGGGCCTACGGTGGAGATATGGGCCTAGGATGGGGATATGGGCCTGGAATGGAGATATGGGCCTGGGTGTGGAGATATGGGACTGGAGTGGAGATATGGGCCTGATGTGGAGATATGGGCTTGGAGTGGAGATATGATCCTGGAGTGTAGTTATGGGCCTGGAGGTGGAGATCTGGGCCTGGGGTGGAGATATGGGCCTGGAGTGGAGATATGGGACTGGAGAGGAGATATGGGACTGGAGTGGAGATATGGGCCTGGAGTGGAGATATGGGCCTGGATTGGAGATATGGGCCGAGGGTGGAGATCTGAGCCTGGATTGGAGATGTGGGCCCGGATTGGCTATATGGGTCTAGGGTGGAAATATCGGCCTGGAGTGGAGATATGGGCCTGGAGTGGAGATATGGGCTTGGGGTGGGGATATGGGCCTGGAGGCTGGGTCTCTGCACAGCCGAGAGCACTGTTCTTGGGTGCAGGTAGGCACTGATGGTGAGTTTCCCTTCGGCCCAGGAAGGGGCTGGCTATCAAGACTCACAGCCCAGTGGGGGCAGCAAGGAAGGCCTTGTTTGCCTGCAAATGGATCTTCCATCATGATCTTTCTTTCCAGGGTTCTTCTTGCTGCAGGGGGCCTGGCCACAGGAGGGTAAGTCCTTCTCCAAACCTTAGGGTGTCATCTCCCCACATAAGAGGATTTTCCTGAAACGGGAGGGAAGTCCTGTCAGGGAGTCTCTCATAAACTAGGAAGAGGGGACCCTGGGGTGCTCGGCCCACAGTTCCGACCTTGCCTCCCTGGCCTCTCAACCCCTTGGCAGAGTCAAGTTGTGTGGGGACCAGGGTTGGACTAGGGTGTTCAAAGCTGGGTTGTGTGGTGGGGAAGTGGTAGGAACAGCAGATCCTCTGAGGACAAAGGTGTTACTCACACACTTCAGCGTTTCCATGACGGTAGGGGCTGCAGTGTGGCTGCTGTCATTCTACCAGAAGAGGTGGGAAACCACAGCCATGGCCCTGACATTCCAAATCCTCTGATGGGGGCTAAGTTTTTTATTATCATTCAGGCAACTGCTGATATTCCATTCTCAAAGGACATGCCCTCCACTTCATGTCTACCCTGTGTTGTTTTATGTCAGTAATCTTACAGTATTAAAATCTAGTAGGAGTCTCTTACTCAGCACTTGCTCAAAGTTCTCAGCTGACACTTTTGTTGTACGGAGACACCTTGTCTTTGTGGGATGGGTCCTTCCTTTAGCCCTAGGCACCAAGGTGTGATAGCAGCCATAGAAATGTGGAAAGTGGGGAGAATCTTCTGAGCACAGGGAGGGAGGCACAGCTCCACATCCTCCTCTCTAAGGCGGCGCCTCCTTCACCCCAAGGTGGTCAGGACAAGCCCTTGCTTTCTACCTGGCCCAGCCTTGTGGTGCCTCCAGAACATGTGACTCTTCAGTGTCACTCTAATCTTGGGTTTAACAACTTCAGTCTGTACAAGGATGATGGGGTGCCTGTCCCTGAGCTGTACAACAGAATATTCTGGAAAAGCCTTTTCATGGGCCCTGTGACCCCGTCACATGCAGGGACCTATAGATGCCGGGGTTCACACACACACTCCCCCAGTGGGTGGTCGGCACCCAGCAACCCCCTGGTGATCATGGTCACAGGTCAGAGGGCTCCTGTCTGGGATTCTCCTTGTCCCACCTCCTGAATCCCAGAGCTTCTGGTAGGCATGTCCTTGAGGGTCCCATCACGCAGGCCCTAACTGTATTTGGGGTAAAGGGGGATTGAATACAGGGAAATGGGTGCTGTGGTGGGAAGAATAAGTGTCCCCAGTGATGACTGCATTCTAATCCCTGGAGTCTGTGACTATTTATGTTATAGGGGAAGGGACTGAAGGGGAAGATGGAGCTCAGGTTGTTGATGAGTTGACCTTGAGATGGGGAGACAGCCTGGACTGTCCCGGTGGGCTCAGTATAATCACAAGTGTCCACATGAAAGGAGGAGGAAGAGGAGAGTGGGGATTAGAGCAGCGTAGTGGGAGACTCCATCAGCTTTGAAGGTGGATGAAGGCCATAAGCCATGAATGCAGGTGGCCTATAGAGGCTGGGAAAGTCAAGTAACTGATTCTCCTGAGTCTCCAGAGGGAACACAGCCCTGCAGATGCCTTGATTTTAGCCCTCGAAAAACAGGGTCCGCTTTCTGTCTCCAGAATCGGAGGGGGTCAGTGTGCTCTCTCCTGCTGCCATGCTTCTGATAATTTTCTACAGCAGCAACAGGAAACCAACACTGGAACCCAGGTCAAGGACAAGTTAAGAAAAGACACAAGGATAGCCAGGCATGGTGGCAGGTGCATGTAATCCTAGCGACTCGGGAGGCTGAGAGCAGGAGAATCGCTTGAACCCAGGAGACAGAGGTTGCAGTGAGCGTAGACCACACCACTTCACTCCAGCCTGGGTGAAGGAGTGAGACTCTGTCTCCAAAATTAATTAATTAATTAAAGAAACCAAACAAAGAGAAGGTTGGCTGCACCGAGATCAGCAAGGGTGGGATGATGATGCCACCACCAGGCTCCATCCACATAGGGAGGGGTTGATACTCCTCAAATCAGCACGAGGAGCCAGCCTATGGAAACTGGCACCATGGAGAAGGCACAGACATGGCAAGAGTGGCTCCCAGTCCCCACCAGGAACAGGGTGTGTGGACACTGGTGCCTGCCTTACTGATCAGTTCATACCTCCTGCCAAGGATTCCAATTCGTCCAAAAGAGATTGAACCAGGCTGCTAAGAGCCGGGACGTGCAGCCTATCCTGCTTCCTCTTCCACTCCCACATAGACAGTAAGAAAGACATTAGTGTGAAATAGATACAACAGCCCAAGAGATGAGGCTGAGCCCAGTGGGAAGGGAATCACAGCTACTAGAGACAGAGGGACAGAGAAGAGGGAGGGAGACAGATGGAAGGACCTGCACCAGGAGTTATGGGCACAGAAAAGAACATGAAGACACAGAGAGGAAGCAGAGAGACAGACACCAGCGAAGGGAAGGCTCACTCATTCCAGGTGCCATGGATGGGATGATAAAGAGAGACACCTTCTAAACTCACAACCTCTCTTCCTAGGAGTCCACAGAAAACCTTCCTTCCTGGCCCTCCCAGGTCACCTGGTGAAATCAGAAGAGACAGTCATCCTGCAATGTTGGTCGGATGTCATGTTTGAGCACTTCCTTCTGCACAGAGAGGGGAAGTTTAACAACACTTTGCACCTCATTGGAGAGCACCATGATGGGGTTTCCAAGGCCAACTTCTCCATTGGTCCCATGATGCCTGTCCTTGCAGGAACCTACAGATGCTACGGTTCTGTTCCTCACTCCCCCTATCAGTTGTCAGCTCCCAGTGACCCTCTGGACATGGTGATCATAGGTGAGAGTGTCCAGACATTCTTCTCATTGTCATTGGGATGCAGAGTGAATGATCCAGGACTTGGAGACCCAGGTGGTTGTAAGGAAGATGAGCTTGGTATTCTTATGGAGAGAGACTGACTTGGTGAGGTCTGTGCCAACAGAGACAGAGAAACAAGAGACACAAGTACAGACCAGGTGTCATAACAGAGGACAAACACAGGGGCCATACAGGGAGTTAGAAAAGACAGAAAGAGTTAAAGGAGACAGACAGACATGTCCCAGACAGAGGTGTCCTTCCATGCTGACTTTGCTCAGAGACCTGGCACAGGTTAGAAGTTTCATTTCTGTTTTACCTCCACAAAGTGTTCTCTACCAGGAGAACCCAAGGACACCCATATTTCTGACCTGAGTTGGGCCCTGTGGCCTCAGGCCTTGTGGCACCTACAGATGCCATGCTTATTCTGACACCTCTGACTTCCATGCAATGGAGAATAATCGTCCCAAAATATCATGGCCCCAGAACACCAACCCCTGTATGCTGTGTGAACTTGTGGTCTCCAGACTGGATTCTGAGGCTCACATTCCAAATAACCCCACATATCACATATGAGAGGATCACTGAGAAGCACAGAGAGAAATCAGGGACACCAAAAAGCAAAGACATAAACACACAGAGAAAGAGCCAGAGGAAGGAGATTGAGAGACTCACAGACACATAAAGAGAGAGAAGAGGGCAGAGAAGTGGAGAGAATGATGGAAGAGAGCAGAGAAAACCACTAAAATTAGAGTCCTGAGGGCGAGGCACAAGGGCATAGAAAGATGGAGATGTGGGGATGAATTGCAGAGATTCCAAAGAGAACTAGAGAGACCGAGAGGCAGAGCAAGACAGATGATAGATGGATAGATACAGATAGATGATGGATAGATATAGATAGATGATATATAGGTAGATGATAGATAATAGGTTATAGATACATAGATGATGATTGATTGATTCATTAATAGATGATACATAGAGATGATGATGATGAAGATAGATGGATAGATAATACATAGAGATAGAGAGGAAGACAAAGAGAGAAATAATAGAGAGAGAGAGATGATACATATATATAGATAATAGATGATTGACGGATAGACAATTGATAGATAAATAGATGATATATAGATATAGATGACAGGTAGAGAATTTGTAGATAGGCACCGAATAGATAAATAGATGGATTGATAGATAATAGATAGAAATATGCAGAAAGTTATGAACGGGACACAAACTGAGAAACTCAGAGTTAAAAAAAGTAACATCAAGTCAACCAATCCAAGGAGAGCCAGAGAGAATAAAACAATCCAAAAAAGGAAAACATAACTAGAGGTAGGGAAGTGAGGTCAGAGACCTACAGAGACAGAGAAGGTGGAAGGAGGAAATAGACATGAAGAGAGATAGGGTGGAGGGTGAGACAGAGAAAGAGAGCATTAGGCCATAGAGCAGGGGAGTGAGTTCTCAGGTCAGGTGTGAGGGGAGCTGTGACAAGGAAGATCCCCCCTGAGGAAACTGCCCCTTCTCCTTCCAGGTCTATATGAGAAACCTTCTCTCTCAGCCCAGCCGGGCCCCACGGTTCAGGCAGGAGAGAATGTGACCTTGTCCTGCAGCTCCCGGAGCTCCTATGACATGTACCATCTATCCAGGGAAGGGGAGGCCCATGAACGTAGGCTCCCTGCAGTGCGCAGCATCAACGGAACATTCCAGGCCGACTTTCCTCTGGGCCCTGCCACCCACGGAGGGACCTACAGATGCTTCGGCTCTTTCCGTGACGCTCCCTACGAGTGGTCAAACTCGAGTGATCCACTGCTTGTTTCCGTCACAGGTGAGGAAACCCCATATCTGTCCCATGTCCTATGATCCTAGAGCCTTAGCTGAGGAGCTTCCTGCTGATGATGGAGAGAAGCATGGACAGATGCAGAGAGAAGACGCAGCATGCCTGTGAGGGAGGGATCAGGGCGCAGGATGGCACACACAGCACCTCCAAACCCTCCTGCATGGCCTGCATGGAGGCCTCCGATTAGGGCTCCAGAAACCCAGGCAGATGTAGAAAGCGGTCAGGAGAGACCCAGAGAAGGGGAGACTGGGCTCAGTTTGGGGAGATCAGAGGTTCCCTCAGCCCCTCAACCTTACCCATTTCCCAGAAGCCCTTCCTGGCCTCTCACCCACACAGAGATGTCATCACCAGCAACCCCTACATCCTTTTCTTTTTGTTTGAAAAAATATTCATTGAGGTTAAATATACCTATATAGCTTACCACTTTTAACATTTTTTTTTTTTTGAGGTGGAGTCTAGCTCTGTCTCCTATGCTGGAATGCAGTGGCACAATCTCAGCTCACTGTAACCTCCGCCTCCTGGGTTCAAGCGATTCTCCTGCCTCAGCCACCTGAGTAGCTGGTACTACAGGCGCCCATCACCACGCCGGGCTACTTTTTGTATATTTAGTAGAGAGGGGGTTTCACCATGTTGGTCGAGCTGCTCTGGAACTCCTGACCACGTGATCCACCCGCCTCAGGCTCCCAAAGTGCTGGGATTACAGGCATGAGCCACCGCGCCCGGCCACGTTTACCAATTTTAAGTGTAAGGTCTAGTGGTCATAAATACATACATATAAATTTTTTGTTTGTTTGTTTTATCCTCCACCCTTTTCTTCCTGGCCTCTGGTAGCCACCATTCTACTCTCTATCTTCATGAGATCCACCTTTTAGCTCCTGTATATGGGTGAGAAATGAGAATATTTGTAATGACTTCCAGTTCCATCCATGTGGCTGCAAATATCAGGATGTTATTCTTTCTATGGATGAGTAGTCTCCGCTGTGCGTATGTACTACATTCTCTCTATCCATTCATCCACTGATGGGCAGGTAGGTTGACTCCACATCTTGGCTACTGTGAAGAGTGCTGCACCAATCATACGAGTGCAGATATCACTTCGATACATTGATTTACTTTCCTTTGGATATAAACCCAGTAGTGAAATTGCTGGATACTATGAAAGTTCTCTTTTTAGTTTTTCGTTTGTTGTTTTGTTTTTGTTTTTGAGACAGTTTCCCTCTGTGCCCAGGCTGGAGTACAAGTGATGTGATCTTGGCTCATTGCAACCTCCGCCTCCTGGGTTCAAATGATTTTCCTGCCTCAGCCTCCCTAGTAGCTGGGATTACAGGTGCACGCCACCATGCCGGGATACTTTTTGGTTTTTTTTAGTGTACATGGGGTTTCCCCAGGTTGGCTAGGCTGCTCTCAAACTCATGACCTCAACTGAGGTGCCCGCCTCGGTCTCCCAAAGTGCCGGGATTACAGGCATGATCCACTTCATCCAACCTCTTTTTAGTTCTTTAAAGGACTTCCATACTTTTCTCCGTAATGGCTGTACTAATTTACACTCCTACCAACAGGGTACCAGGGTTCTCCTTTCTCTACCACCTTGCCAGCATTTGTTTTGCCTGTCTTGCAGCTAAAAGCCATTTTATTTTATTTCATTTTATTTTGAGATGGAGTTTCGCTCTTGTCACCCAGGCTGGAGTGCAGTGGTGCGATCTCGGCTCACCGCAACCTCCACCTCCCAGGTTCAAGCGATTCTCCTGCCTCAGCCTCCCGAGTAGCTGGAATTACAGGCACACGCCACCACGCCCGACTAATTTTTGTATTTTTAGTAGAGACAGCGTTTCTCCATGTGGGTCAGACTGGTCTCAAACTCCCGACCTTATGAGATTCGCCCACCTCGGGCTCTCAGAGTTCTAGGATGACAGACGTGAGCCACCTCGCCCGGCCTAAAAGCCATTTTAATGGGGTGAGATGAAAACTCACTTTGATTTTAATTCGCGTTTCTCTGATGATGAGTGATACTGAGCACTTTTTCGTATGTGGGGAAATTTCATGTCTTTTGCTCCTTTTTCAATTAAATCATTTGTTTTATTGAGTTGTTTGAGCTTCTTATACTTCTAGTTATTAATCCCGTCTCAGATGCATAGTTTGCACATATTTGCTCCCAATCTGTGGGTTGTCTCTTCACTTTGTTGGTTTATTTTTAGCGGTGCAGAAGTTGCTTAGTTTGAGGTAATCCCAATGGTCTATTTTTGCTTCGATTACTTGTGTTTTGAAGGTTTAAAACAAAATGTCTTCCTTCAGACAAATGTACTGGAGCATTTCCCCAATATTTTCTTCTACGTGTTTCACAGGTTCAGGCCTTAGACTCACATCTTTAATCCACTTTCATTTGATTTTTGTGTATGGTGACAGGTAGAGGTGCAGTTTCATTCCTCTGCATGTAGATGTCCAGGTTTCCCTGCACTGTTTATTGAAAAAACTGTCCTTTCCTGATTGTGAGTTCTTGGCACCTTTGTCAAAGTCCATTGGATGGGCTGGGCATGGTGGCTAACACCAGCAACTTCAGCACTTTGGGAGGCCAAGGCTGGTGGATCACCTGAGGACAGGAGTACAAGATTACTCTGGCCGACGTGATGAAACATCGTCTCCACTAAAAATATAAAAATTAGCTGAGCATGGTGGTCAGCACCTGTAATACTACTACTCAGGAGTTTGAGGCAAGAGAATTGATTGAACCCAGGAGGCTGAGGTTGCAGTGAACCGAGATTGCACCTCTGCACTCCAGCCTGGGTGACAGAGCGAGACTCCATCTCAAAAGAAAAAATAAAAAAAATTGGATGTAAATGCATGGATTATATCTGTGTTCTTCATTCTGCTCCGTTGTTCTATGTGCCTTTCTTCATGCCAACATCATGCTGTTTTGCTTACTACAGCTCTGTAACATATTTTGAGATCAGGTAGTGTGATGCTCCTGTTTTCTCTTTATACCTTGAAGTCTCAAGACAGTGGGCGTCACATACAAAAATTATGGAAGAAAGGATCCCTGGACTCCCAGGGCCCAATGTTAGATAACAGAGTGTTGGCCATGAACCAAACTCAAAGATTTCCACTGAGTAGAGGACAGACACCCTCATTTCCTCACCTCTCTCCTGTCTCATGTTCTAGGAAACCCTTCAAATAGTTGGCCTTCACCCACTGAACCAAGCTCCAAAACCGGTGAGTACAGGACCCTCTTATATCCGCTTTTGGAACCCTGGGGAGGTGGAAACCTTGGATTCAGGCGTTGACTCAGCATCTCACAGCTCTGACATTGTACGCCTGTCTTCTACCATCTCCGAACTCCAGATACTCCAACAGCGAAAGGGATCTGGGCCCAACACAGGGCTCAGTGAAATCTCTTCATCTCTCATTTTATGGAGCTGAGACCTCCTACAAGCTAGAAGAATGATTGCCAATCTGACATCCTTCTCAGGAAAAACGCAATGTTTGTTCTGCTTGCATTCCTAACTGGAGGATAAATTCCTGGGGGCTTGAGAGAGGGAAGGGAAGCGAACATCTGATGAGGGCGAGGTGTTTTAGAGAAGTTCCACTTGCCAAGGAATGAGCTCCTGTTGGTCATGAAACAACCCTGGCTGACTCAGCAGAGCAAGAGCCTTGCCGTAACAGAGAACAGAGCTCATGCACGCACACTTTGACTCACTGACTTATTCAGCCACGGCCCCATGCTCAGGTTGTGCAGTGTGGAAGCTTTTCCTATTGTTGCCATAACAAATTTCCACAAGATTCGTGGGTGAAAACAAAACGGTTATTTAATTATCTTACAGTGCTCTAGCTCAAAGCATGAAGTGCATCTCACTGGGCTAAAATCAAGATGACAGCAAGCCTGCCTTCCCTCTGAGGATTCCAGGCAAGAATCTGCTTCTCACTTGTCCCATCTTATAAAGGCTCCCAGTTCCTTGGCTGCTGGTCCCTTTCCTCCTTCCTCAAAACCCACAAAGACTGGTCACATCTCACATGGCATCACTCAGACCCTTCTTCCTTACCACACCTCTTTCTCTGAATGCTGCTCTCCCTTCTTCCTCATCTTTTGAAAACTTGGGGATTCTATTGGGTTCACCAAGATGAAAATCCGTCATAATCTCCCGGAAATCATTCAGGATACCCTTGTTTTAAGTTCAGCTGATTAGCAACCATAATTCCATCTGCAATCTTCATTCCTCCTTTCCATGTAAAATAACATATTCACAAGCTATGGAGGCTAGGACAGGGACATTTTGGGGTGGGACAGCATTCTCCTGCCTTCCACAAATGGTGAACAAGATGCATTTGGCCTCTGCTCTTGGGACACTGATATTGCAGATGGTTAAATGGGAGGACAGAAAATGAATGCACAAGTGGACCAATAAATGAATGATCCATTGGGAAGCATCTGTGCATGAAATCTATTTGTTTGTTTGTTCGTTTGTTTATTGAGACAGAGTCTCCCTCTGTCTTCCAGGCTACAGTGCAGTGTCACGATCTTGGCTCACTGCAACCTGCGTCTCCTGGATCCAAGTGATTCTCCTGCCTCACCCTCTCGAGTAGCTGGGATTACAGGCAACTGCCACCATGCCCGGCTAATTCTTTTTGTATATTTTTTGTAGAGAGGATGTTTCACCATGTTGGCCAAGCTTGTCTGAAACTCCCAACCTCAAGTGATCCGACCATCTCAGCAACCCAAAGTACTGGGATTACAGGCGTGAGCCACTTTGCCCAGCCAGAATTCAAAATAAATAATAGATAATGCTGAGTGTATAATTTTGGGTGACAGAGAAGGTCTCACTAATCAGATATTTGTGACATTAATGAAAAACACGGATTGAACCCCTGAAAGATTGGCGGAAGGATTTTCCACACACAGCTGTCAGCTGTGAAGGCACAAAGGTGAAAACAATCTGATGTTGAAGGAAGAGGCTCTGCCTGAAATGCTGGGAATGAGGTGGGGAGAATGACAAGATGACTGTAGAGAGATGGAGAGCACTCTGGGTACACAGGAAACTAAGGAGGAACAAGGAGTGTGTGTTTGACACTCACAGCCATTGGATTCACCTCGGGGTAACCAGGAATCCCTACATGATTAATAGTGACTGACAAGAAAATAAGGGAGGCCCAGGTGCGTAACTGGAATCTAGGAGACTGTGGAAAAGGCAATTGCCGCCCCACTGGTGAAATGTGGTGCTGATTTAGACACTAAATGAATGAAGTAGATGGATATAAGATATGCTTGTGAGGTAGAATCATTGGCTGGAAAGGCTTGCTGGGTTTGATTTTCCTACTTGTTTAATCCTCGCTTAATTAATTTCTTTCTGAGATTTATTCATCCTACACATAAATCAATACCTGGCAAAGGAGTGACAGATATATGAGGGGTGGTGGAAATGAAGGGACCTATTATAGCATAATATACAAGTCTGTGAACGGTGGCTCATGCTTGTAACCCAGCCCTGCAGGAGGCCAAGGCGGGTGGATTCCATGAAGTCAGGAGTTCCAGACCAGCCTGGCCAACATGGTGAAACCCTATCTGTACTAAAAATACAAAAATTAGCCGAGCATGGTGGTGCATCCCTGTAATCCCAGCTCCTACTCTGGAGGATGAAGCAGGAGAATGACTTCAACCCAGGAGGTGGAGGTTGCAGTGAGTGGAGATTGCATCACTGCACTCCAGCCTGGGTGACACAAGGAGACTCCGTCTCAAAAAATAAAAATAAGAAATGCATAAATATAATAAAACACACACGAATGACAAAGGCACCTGAATTCCAATCATCGTTTTTCTATTTCTCTATAATTACTTCTTTGATCCTTTATCTTATCCATTAGGCAATGAGCCTAAAACCTCTTCCCTATTTGGCTTTCTGTGAGCATGAGATCACATAGAAAATGTGAAAGCCCGCTGAATCCTCCAGCACGGATCCTGGAATAGAGAATGTGCTCTGGTCATCGCAAAAAAAAACTTGCCCACTCACCCAAATCGCCCACCTCACCCCTACTTCCAATCACCTGTGGAGATTCAGATAGACCATGGGGAGGAAACATTAATATTCCTTGGAGTGAGTCCAGATCTTGGAATCAGAGATCAGCGACAGCACTAGCTCCTGTTCCCCTTTCCTACTAATTCACAGGAGGACAGGTGGTATTGAAGCAATAGATGGTGGAGGGGGTGGTCCTTCCCCCAGCCTCTCGGGTAGAACAGCAGCCTAACATGTGTCTCCCGAGATCACAAAGAGCAGCACATTTCACACGGGCTTCAACACTATTTTCTGGCTGTTTGACATAAGAGAATCTTGCTTCGCTATTTTTAATCGTGATTTCACCTTTGTTTCCTTTCCTTGGTGAATGCAATTTGTTTGACTCAAGAATGCTGTGGATGTAGAAATCCTAAAGCACATTCGCTGTGTATCAATCCCAGTGCAGTCTTCCCAGAGAAGACTCTAAACAAATCCTGGACTGCACCTGGGCCTATGCCAATTCCTATCACTCACCGTCACTCCAGGGAGACAGAACACACAGAGGATACGTTACATAGGCAGGTTCATTACTAACAGATAAGCAGCGAGTGACAACAGAAGCCTGCATTTCAATGTGAGCCAGTCCCTCAAGGCTCAGAAAAGCTGCTCGGGACATATGGAGTCACCCCATTTGCAGTGTAACTGGGGGAAGCCAGAAAGCAGCCCAGCCTGGGTTTTGTACCCTGGAGCCACAGGAAGCACTCAGCTAAAGCACTGCATGACGTCCTCCTCCAGGAAGAACAGGAAGACAGCCCAGGCTGTTCTGAGACATTCCTCCTGATCTCAGGATGTTGCTATCTTAGTCCATTTTTGTTGCTCTAAAGGAACACTTGAGCCTGGGTAACTTCTAAAGAAAAGAGATTGGTTTGCCTCACAGTTCTGCAGGCTGTACTGGAAGCATGGCACCAGAATCTATTTCTCTTGACGGCCTCAGGCTGCTCCCACTCTGGCAGAAGGGAAGGAGGGTCTGTCTGTGCAGAGACCGCAGAGATCACACGGCAAGAGAGAGAGTAAGGGGGAGAGGGAGCGATGGAGCTTCCAAGCTCTTTTTAACAACCAGCTCTCCAGGAACTAACAGAGGGGGAACTTGCTAACCCCGTCTCCTTGGGACAGCATTGATCTGTTCATGATGGATCCACCTCCATGACCCAAACACCTCTGAAGAGGCCCAACCTCCCACAATGGGGGTGAAATTTCAATGTGAGGTTTGAAAGGGTCAAACATCTCAACTAAAGTAGTTGTATCCTCAGCACGTTCTATGGTTACTATGAGAGCTATAATTGAGAAAGCAGGGGAAAGCTAGGTCTCCCGCCATTTGGGTGCTTGTCCTAAAGAGACGTTGTATGTGGTTACCTGCCAATCAAGAAATGCGAGACAATTCATAAAGAGGAACTGCTATGATTAGCTTCTTATTGGTGTCTCCTCTTCTTCCAGGTAACCCCAGACACCTACATGTTCTGATTGGGACCTCAGTGGTCAAAATCCCTTTCACCATCCTCCTCTTCTTTCTCCTTCATCGCTGGTGCTCCGACAAAAAAAGTAAGTCTCACGAAGCAGAGGCCAGAGAGCTCAGGGCCATGTGGGGAAGCAGGATGGGAGCACGCGGATGTGTGTTCCTCACCAGCAGGATGGTCCCTGGCCCAAGACAGGAGCCACAGAGGCAGGACTTTCTAGAGAGAGCACCAGATTCCCTTCCCCTGCCTTCAGCTCACAGACCATTGCCTGATTCTGAACTGTATCCTCACGTCCCCTGCAGCCACTCACATCCAGGAGAAGGTTCCATGACAGGCAGAAAGTGGGAGATAGAATCAATGGGATGGGACCTCAGAGCTATTCATGGGATGGGTCCTTGAACTCAGAGAGATAGAATGTCTGAGTCTGCTGTTGGCAACTGAGGGACCTCAGGCACCTATGGCCTCCCCCTGTTTGTTGGTATCTGCTTATGAAATGAGGACCCAGAAGTGCCCTCCGAGCTCTTTTGTTGACTTCCGTCTTCTACAGATGCTGCTGTAATGGACCAAGAGCCTGCAGGGAACAGAACAGTGAACAGCGAGGTAGGTGCTCCTCGGCCCAGCCTCGTGGCTAGTCTTATTCCCAAAGAGTCCTGAAAAATGTGAGCACCCTCCCTCACTCAGCATTTCCCTCTCTCCAGGATTCTGATGAACAAGACCATCAGGAGGTGTCATACGCATAATTGGATCACTGTGTTTTCACACAGAGAAAAATCACTCGCCCTTCTGAGAGGCCCAAGACACCCCCAACAGATACCAGCATGTACATAGAACTTCCAAATGCTGAGCCCAGATCCAAAGTTGTCTTCTGTCCACGAGCACCACAGTCAGGCCTTGAGGGGATCTTCTAGGGAGACAACAGCCCTGTCTCAAAACCGGGTTGCCAGCTCCCATGTACCAGCAGCTGGAATCTGAAGGCATCAGTCTTCATCTTAGGGCATCGCTCTTCCTCACACCACGAATCTGAACATGCCTCTCTCTTGCTTACAAATGTCTAAGGTCCCCACTGCCTGCTGGAGAGAAAACACACTCCTTTGCTTAGCCCACAATTCTCCATTTCACTTGACCCCTGCCCACCTCTCCAACCTAACTGGCTTACTTCCTAGTCTACCTGAGGCTGCAATCACACTGAGGAACTCACAATTCCAAACATACAAGAGGCTGCCTCTTAACACAGCACTTAGACAGGTGCTGTTCCACCTCCCTTCAGACTATCTTTCAGCCTTCTGCCAGCAGTAAAACTTATAAATTTTTTAAATAATTTCAATGTAGTTTTCCCGCCTTCAAATAAACATGTCTGCCCTCATGGTTTCGGTAACGAGACTCTTTTCTTGCCTAAGGCTTCCGGTGTTATCATTACCATGTCCACATAACCCCATCTGTTCTCCATTGGGTTCTCAGCCCTGGACTCTGAGCTTCTGGAAGCAGAATGTAGCCTGATTTGTCTCTGAGACTCCAATTTCCATCCAAAGATACAGCACATAGGAGGCTCCAAGGATCGTGAATCACATGAACAAGTGATATTCTTACTCTCTGCAGACCTGGAAAGCTGGCAGAGTCATTCCACGATGAAACATTTGTAGAGACATAGGCCTTGTTAGTCTCATCTCCACGGGGACACATATCAACATATCATCTTTCATAATATAAATATACAGTCGGTCCTCCATATCTGTGGGGTTTACAGGTGTTTATTGAACCAACAATAAATCAAAAATATTTTCAGAAAAAAATCCCCGAAGTTTCAAGAAGCAAAAAACTATGTTGAATCGACACAAATTGAGTGGCGTGTAGGCTGTGTCAGGAATTATAAGTAATCAAGAGATGATTTCATGTATACAGGAGGATGTGCATGGGTTCTATGCAATTGCTATGCTATTTTTTTTTTTTTTTTGAGACAGTCTCACTCTCTCACCCAGGCTGGAGTGCAGTGGCATGATCTCAGCTCACTGCAACCTCCGCCTCCCAGGTTCAAGCGATTGTCTTCCCTCAGCCTCCCCAGTAGCCTCCCCTAGGATTACAGGCACGTGCCACCATGCACAGATAAATTTTTTTGTGTGTGTATTTTTAGTAGAGACGGGGTTTCAGAATGTTGGACCAGCTGGTCTTGAACTCCTGACCTCGTGATCTACCCAACTCAGCCTCCCAAAGTGCTGGGATTACAGGCGTGAGCCACGGTGCCCAGCTTCGCTATGCCATTTCATGCAAGGGGCTTGAGCATCTGCAGATTTTGGTATCTGAATGGGGATCCTGGAACCAATCACCCAGGAATAGTGAAGGACCACAGTATATAATTTTTATTTGTCAATCTTAAAAATAAAGCATAAAAAGTTTACAACAACAAGATAAAAAATAAGAAGTGTTTTTATAGTGTGAGGATAAGTTTAGATTTATTTTTTCCTACGTGTAACCCTATGGTCCTGTGTTATTTATTGAGAAAATATTCTATTCCACCTTAAACTACATGGCAGCCTTTGTCAACTATAAAGGGACTGTGTATCCACAGATGTATTTTAGACACAGTTTTCTGCCCAGTGGTTCTCTGTATCCCCTCTCATGAGGATGCTGCATTTCATATAAACTTATAGAACCCCTTAAAATTTGGTAACCTGAGTTCTCTGATTTGTTATTATAGGTTATTTAGTTTGCTTTTTTTTTTCTTTCTTGAGACAGACTCTTCCTCTGTCACCCAAGCTGGAGTTCAGTGGCTTGAGCTCAGCTCACTGCAGCCTCCGCCTCCCAGGTTCAAGCAATTCTCGTGCCTCAGGTTTAGTACTAGAAACTCATCAGGAAAATTAGAATGGCTTTTTGTCACAATTACTCTGATAATGTTAATAATACCTCTTAGATATTTTGCACATTACACATGAAGAAAAGTTTGAATCTCAGATAAAAACAAAAATACATCAAAAGTCTTTAATGTAAGCACAGAATTCAATCACCTCATGTGTGAGAGGTTGGATCTGAGACGTCTTTTGAGTCTGGTCATAGTGAAGGATGCAAGGTGGCAATTGTAGTCACAACAATTTCCAGGAAGCCATGTTCCGCTCTTGAGCGAGCACCCACTGGGCCTCATGCAAGGTAGAAAGAGCCTGCGTACGTCACCCTCCCATGATGTGGTCAACATGTAAACTGCATGGGCAGGGCGCCAAATAACATCCTGTGCGCTGCTGAGCTGAGCTGGGGCGCGGCCTCCTGTCTGCACCGGCAGCACCATGTCGCTCACTGTCGTCAGCATGGCGTGCGTTGGTGAGTCCTGGAAGGGAATAGAGGGAGGGAGAGTGGGGATGGAGATCTCGGCCTAGAGGTAAAGATATGGGCCTGGAGTGGAGATATGGGCCTGGAGTGGAGATATGGGCCTGGGTGTGGAGATATGGGCCTGGAGGTGTAAATATGGGCCTGGAGTGCAGATATGGGCCTGGAGGGGAGATATGGGCCTGGGTGTGGAGATATGGGCCTGGAGTGGAGATACGGGCCTGGAGTGGAGATATGGGCCTGGAGTGGAGATATGGGCCTGCAGGTGGAGATCTGGGCCTGGAGTGGAGATATGGGCCTGGAGTGGAGATATGGGTCTGATGTGGAGATATGGGCCTGGAGTGGAGATATGGGCCTGGAGTGGAGATATGGGCCTAGAGGGGAGATCTGGGCCTGGAGTGGAGATATGGGTCTGATGTGGAGATATGGGCCTGGAGTGGAGATAGGGGCCTGGAGTGGAGATAGGGGCCTGGAGTGGAGATATGGGCCTGGAGTGGAGATCTGGGCCAGGAAGTGTTGATCTGGGCCTGGAGCCTGGGTCTCTCCACAGCTGAGAGCCCTGTTCTTGGCAGCAGGTAGCAGGGAGGCTAAGTTTACCTTCAGCCCAGCAAGGGCCTGGCTGCCAAGACACACAGTGCAGTGGGGGCAGCAGGGTGCCCTGGTTTGCCTGCAGTTGGATCGTCTATCATGATCTTTCTTTCCAGGGTTCTTCTTGCTGCAGGGGGCCTGGCCACTCATGGGTGAGTCCTTCCCCAAACCTTAGGGTGTCATCTCCCCACATAAGAGGATTTTTCTGAAACAGGAGGGAAGTCCTGTCGGGGAGTCTCTCATAAACTAGGAAGAGGGGACCCTTGGATACTCGGCCCACATTTCTGACCTCGCCCTCCCCGGCCTTTCTTTCCCTTTCCTGAGTCAAGCTCTGTGAAGACTGGGGTGAGACTGGGGTGCTCCAAGCTGGGGTGTGCAGGGAGGAAGTGGTGTCAGCAGCAGAGAAAGAGAGGGAAGCAGTGCTAGGAACAGCAGGTCCTCTGAGGACAAAGGTATAACTGACACCCTCCAGCGTTTCCGTGACGGTAGGGGCTGCAGTGTGGCTGCGGTCTTTCTACCAGAAGAGGGGGGAAACCACAGCCATGGCCCTGACATTCCAAATCCTCTGAGGGGGCTCAGTTCATGAATTGGCTGATATTCCATTCACATAGGACATGCCCTCCACGCCGTGTCTACTTTGTGTTGTTTTATGTGAGTAATTTTGCAGTATTAAAATCTAGTAAGAGTCACTTATTCAGCACTTGCTCAAAGTTCTCAGCTGACACTTGTTGTAGGGAGACGCCATGTCTATGTGGGGTGGGTCCTTCCTGTAGCCCTGGGCACCCAGGTGTGGTAGGAGCCTTAGAAAGCGGAAATGGGAGAATCTTCTGAGCACAGGGAGTGAGGGGTGGCTCCACATCCTCCTCTCTAAGGCAGTGCCTCCTTCTCCCCCAGGTGGTCAGGACAAACCCTTCCTGTCTGCCCGGCCCAGCACTGTGGTGCCTCGAGGAGGACATGTGGCTCTTCAGTGTCACTATCGTCGTGGGTTTAACAATTTCATGCTGTACAAAGAAGACAGAAGCCACGTTCCCATCTTCCACGGCAGAATATTCCAGGAGAGCTTCATCATGGGCCCTGTGACCCCAGCACATGCAGGGACCTACAGATGTCGGGGTTCACGCCCACACTCCCTCACTGGGTGGTCGGCACCCAGCAACCCCCTGGTGATCATGGTCACAGGTCAGAGGCTTTCTGTCTGGGCTTCTCACTGTCCCACCTCCTGAATCCCAGAGCTTCTGGTGGGGGTGTCCATCAGGGTCCCATCACCCAGGCCCCAACTGTATTTGGGGTCAAGGGGGATTGAATACAGGGGAAATGGGCGCTGTGGTGGGAAGAATAACTGTCGCCAATGATGGCTACATTGTAAACCCTGGAGCCTGTGACTATTTATGTTATAGGGCAGGGGACTGAAGGGGAAGGTGGAGCTCAGGTTGTTGATGAGTTGACCTTGAGATGGGGAGACAGCCTGGACTGTCCTGCTGGGCTCAGTGTAATCACAAGGGTCCGCGTGAGAGGTGGAGGAAGAGGGGAGTGGGGATTAGAGCAGTGTAGTGGGAGGGAGACGCTATCAGCCACTGTGGGCTTTGAAGGTGGAGGAAGGCCACTAGTCACAGAATGCAGGTGGCCTCTAAGGGCTGGAGAAGTCAAGAGAACTGATTCGCTGATTCTCCAGAGGGAACGCAGCCCTGCAGATGCCTTGATTTCAGCACAGGGAGAACTGGATCCAATTTCTGTCCCCAGAAGTGGAAGGGGTCAGTGTGTTCTCTCCTGCTGCCATGTTTGTGATAATTTTCTGCAGCAGCAACAGGAAACCGACACAGGAACCCAGGTCAAGGACAAGCTAGGAAACCAAACAAGGATAGCCAGGTGTGGTGGTGGGCATGAGTAATCCAACGACTGGGGAGGCTGAGGCAAGATAATCACTTGAACCGGGGAGGCAGAGGTTGCAGTGAGCCAAGACAACACCACTGCACTCCAGCCTGGGTGAAAAAGTGACTGTCTCAAAAATAAATTAATTAATCAATTAATTAAAGAAACCAAACAAGGAGAAGGTTGGCTACCGTGGGATCAGCAAGGGTGGGATGCTGATGCCACCACCAGGCTCCATCCACATAGGAAGGGGTTGATGCTCCTGGAACCAGCACCAGGGACCACCCTATGGAAGCTGGGGCCATGGAGAAGGCACAGACATGGCAGGAGAGGCTCCCAATCCCCATCAGGAACAGGGTGTGTGGACACTGATGTCTGCCTTACTGATGAGTTGATACCTCTGCCAGAGACTCCAATTTGTTCAAAAGAGATTGATTCAGGCTGCTGAGAGCCTGGACATGCAGCCTGTCCTCTTCCACCCCCACATAGACAGCAGGAAAGAGACTAGTGGGAAAGAGATACAACAGCCCAAGAGATGAGGCTCTCTTCACAGTGGGAAGGGAGTCAGGGGCTACTGGAGACAGAGGGACAGAGAAGAGGGAGGAAGACAAATGGAGGGACCTGCACCAGGGGATATGGGCACAGAAAAGACACGGAGACACAGAGAGGGAGGAGAGAGACAGACCTCTGGGAGGGGAACCCTCACTCATTCCAGGTGCCATGGATGGGATGATAAAGAGAGATGCCTTCTAAACTCACAACTTCTCTTTCTAGGAAACCACAGAAAACCTTCCCTCCTGGCCCACCCAGGGCCCCTGCTGAAATCAGGAGAGACAGTCATCCTGCAATGTTGGTCAGATGTCATGTTTGAGCATTTCTTTCTGCACAGAGAGGGGATCTCTGAGGACCCCTCACGCCTCGTTGGACAGATCCATGATGGGGTCTCCAAGGCCAACTTCTCCATCGGTCCCTTGATGCCTGTCCTTGCAGGAACCTACAGATGTTATGGTTCTGTTCCTCACTCCCCCTATCAGTTGTCAGCTCCCAGTGACCCCCTGGACATCGTGATCACAGGTGAGAGTGTCCAGACATTCTTCTCATTGTCATTGGGACACAGAGTGAATGATCCAGGACTTGGAACCCCCAGGTGGTCATGAGGAAGATAAGCGTGGGATTCTTATGGAGAGAGACTGACTCGGTGAGGTCTGTACCAACAGAGACAGGGAAACAGGAGACATAAGTACAGACCAGGTGTCATAACAGAGGACAGACACAGGGGCCATACGGGGAAGTAGAAAAGAGAGAAAGAGGTAAAGGAGACACTCAGACAGACAGACATGTGCCAGAGAGAAGTGTCCTTCCATGCTGACTTTGCTCAGAGACCTGGCACAGGTTAGAAGTTTCATTTCTGTTTTGTCTCCACAAAGTGCTTCTACGAGGAGAACCCAAGGACACCCATATTTCTGACCTGAGTTGGGCCCTGTGGCCTCAGGCCTTGTGGCATCTACAGATGCCATGTTTATTCTGACACCTCTGCCTTCCATGCAGTGGAGCCATAATTATCCCAGGATATCATGGCCCCAGAACACCAACCCCTAAATACTGTGTGTACTTGGTGTCCCCAGACTAGATTCTGAGGCTCATATTCCAAATAATCCTACATATAATAGGATCACTGAGAGACACAGAGATAAATCAGGGACTTCAAAAAGCAAAGGCATAAACACACAGAGAATGAGCCAGAGGAAGGGGATTGAGAGACTCACAGACACACAAAAAGAAAGAAAAGAGGGCAGAGGAGTGGAGAGAATGCTGGAAGGGAGGAGAGAAAAGCCCCAAAATCAGAACCCTGAGGGAGGGGCACAAAGACAGAGAAAGATAAAGATGTGGGGATGGATTGCAGAGATTCCAAATAGAACTAGAGAGACTGAGAGGCAGAGAAAGACAAGGAGATGGAGAGAGACAGATGATAGATGGATAGATAGATATAGATAGATGATAAATAGGTAGATGATAGATAATGGATAGGTTATAGATACATAGATGATGATTGATAGATGATACATAGAGATGATGATGATGATGATGATGAAGATAGATAGATAGAAGACACATATATAAATATATAGATACATAGATGATACATAGAGACTGACAGGCAGACAGAGAGGTAATAGAGAGAGAGAGAGATGATACATAGATACAGATAATACATAGATGATTGATGGATAGACAGATAGACAATTGATAGATAAATGATACATAGATATAGATGACAGATAATTTGTAGATAGACACAAAATAGATAGATAGATAATAGATAGAAATATGCAGAAAGTTATGAACAAGACAGAAAGTGAGAGACTCAGAATTATAGAAAAAGGAAGATCAAGTCAACCAATCCAAGGAGAGTCAGAGAGAATAAAACAATCCAAAAAGGGAAAGCATACCCAGGGGTGGGGAAGTGAGGTCAGAGACCTAGAGAGACAGAGAAGGCGGAAGGAGGAAATAGACATGAAGAGAGTTGGGGTGGAGGGTGAGAGAGAGAGAGAGCATTAGGTCATAGAGCAGGGGAGTGAGTTCTCAGCTCAGGTATGAGGGGAGCTGTGACAAGGAAGAACCTCCCTGAGGAAACTGCCTCTTCTCCTTCCAGGTCTATATGAGAAACCTTCTCTCTCAGCCCAGCCGGGCCCCACGGTTCAGGCAGGAGAGAACGTGACCTTGTCCTGTAGCTCCTGGAGCTCCTATGACATCTACCATCTGTCCAGGGAAGGGGAGGCCCATGAACGTAGGCTCCGTGCAGTGCCCAAGGTCAACAGAACATTCCAGGCAGACTTTCCTCTGGGCCCTGCCACCCACGGAGGGACCTACAGATGCTTCGGCTCTTTCCATGCCCTGCCCTGCGTGTGGTCAAACTCAAGTGACCCACTGCTTGTTTCTGTCACAGGTGAGGAAAACCCGTGTCTGTCCCATGTCTTATGATCCTAGAGCCATAGCTGAGGAGCTTCCTGCCGATGATGGGGAGAAGCACGGACAGATGCAGAGAGAACACGAAGACTGGGTGTGAGGGGGGGGTCAGGGTGCAGGATGGCAGACAGGGCACCTCCAAACCCTCTTGCATGGCCTGCATGGAGGCCCATGGTCAGGGCTCCAGGCACCCAGGCAGATGGAGAAAGCGGTCAGGACAGACCCAGAGAAGGGGAGACTGGGCTCAGTTTGGGGAGATCAGAGGTTCCCTCAGCCCCTCAACCTTACCCATTTCCCAGAAGCCCATCCTGGCCTCTCACCCACACAGAGAGATGTCATCACCAGCAACCCCTACACTCTTTTCTTTTCATTTTCAAAAATATTTATTGAGGTTAAATGTAACTATATAATTTACCAACTTTACCATTTTTAAAAGTAAAATCTAGTGGTCATAAATACCTTTATATGCTGGGTGTGGTGGTTCACGGTTGTAATCTTGGCGCTTTGAGAGGCCAAGAAAGGTGGATCATTTAAGATCAGGGACTCGAGATCAGCCTGGCCAACATGCGGGAAATTCATCTTTACTAAACAGACAAGAAAAATTAGCCAAGCATGCCGGCATGCACCTGTAGTCCTAGCTACTTGGGAGGCTGAGGCAGGAGAAGCACTTAAAGCCAGGAGGCAGAGGTTGCACTGAGCCGAGATCATGCCACTGCACTGCAGCCTGGGAGACAGAGAGAGACTCTGTTTCTAAATAAATAAATACATCTATATTCTTTTTTTTGTTACCTTCCACCCTTCCCTTCCTGGCCTCTGGTATCCACCATTCTATTCTCTACCTTCATGAGATCCACCTTTTATCTCCTGCATGTGGTGAGAAATGGGAATCTTTGTAATGACCTCCAGTTCCATCCATGTGGCTGCAAATGACAGGATGTTATTGTTTCTATGGATGAGTAGTCTCCACCGTGTGTGTGTACTACAGTTCTCTATCCATTCACCCACTGATAGGCAGGTAGGTTGACTCCACATCTTGGCTACTGTGAACAGTGCTGGAACAGTCATATGAGTGCAGATATCACTTCGATACACTGATGTCCTTTCCTTTGGATATAAACCCAGTAGTGAAATTGCTGGACACTATGAAAGTTCTCTTTTTTTTTTTTTCTTTTTTGAGAAAGAGTTTCCCTCCTTAGTCCAAGCTGGAGTCAAAGTGGTGCGATCTTGGCTCATTGCAACCTCTGCTTCCTAGGTTCAAACGATTCTCCTGACTCAGCCTCCCTAATAGCTGTGATTACAGGTGCACGCCACCATGCCTGACTAATTCTTGTATTTTTTAGCACAGACGGGATATCCCAATTTTGGGCAGGCTGCTCTCAAACTCCTGACCTCAAGTGAGGTGCCTGCCTCGGTTTCCCAAAGTGCTGAAGTTACAGGCATAAGCCACTATGCCCAGCCTCCTTTTAGTTTTTTAAAGATTTTCCATACTTTTCTCCATAATAGTTGTACTAATTTACATTCCTACCAACAGGGTACCAGGGTTCTCCTTTCTCTACCATCTTGCCAGCATTTGTTTTGCCTGTCTTGCAGATAAAAGCCATTTTACTTTACTTTATTTATTTATTTATTTATGTTGAGATGGAGTTTCACTCATAGTCGCCCAGGCTGGAGTGCAAGGGTGTGATCTCGGCTCACTGCAACCTCTGCCTCCCGCGTTCAACTGATTCTCCTGCCTCAGCCTCCAAAGTAGCTGGGATTACAGGCATGTGCCACCACGCCTAGCTAATTTTTGTATGTTTAGTAGAGAGGGAGTTTCTCCATGTTGGTCAGGCTGGTCTCCCGACCTCAGGTGATCCGCCCACCTCCGCCTCCCAAAGTGCTGGAATTACAGGCGTGAGCCACCGGCCTAAAAGGCATTTTAATGGGATGAGATGAAAACTCATCGCGATTGTAATTTACATTTCTGTGATGATGAGTGATGCTGAGCACTTTTTCATATACGTGATCGCCATTTCTATGTTTTGTTTGTGGAGAAATGTCTCCTCATGTCTTTTGCTCGTTTTTTAATTAAATTGTTTTATTGAGTTGTTTGAGCTTCTTATATTTCCAGTTATTAATCCCGTCTCAGATGAATAGTTTGCAAATATTTGCTCCTATTTTGTGGGTTGTCTCTTCACTTTGTTGGTTTATCTTTGGTGGTGCAGAAGTTGCTTGGTTTGATGTAATCCTAATGGTCTATTTTTTGCTTTGATTACTTGTGTTTTGAAGGTTTTAAACAAAATGTCTTTTGTCAGACAAATGTCTTCCCCATTATTTTCTTCTACATGTTTCATAGGTTCAGGCCTTAGACTCATGTTTTTAATCCATTTTCATTTGATTTTTGTGTAAGGTGACAGGTATAGATGCAGTTTTATTCCTCTGCATGTAGATATCCAGTTTTCCCCACACCATTTATTGAAGACTGTCCTTTCCTGATTGTAAGTTCTCGGCACCTTTGTCAAAGTCCATTAAATGGGCTGGGTATGGTGGCTCACACCTGCAATTCCAGCACTTTGGGAGGCCGAGGCGGGTGGATCACCTAAAGCCAGGAGTTCAAGACCAGGCTGGCCAACAGAGTGAAACCTCGTCTCTACTAAAAATACAAAAATTAGCTGAGCATGGTGATCAGTGCCTGTAATACCACTACTCAGGAGTTTGAAGCAAGAGAATTTCTTGAATCCAGGAAGTGGAGGTTGCATTGAGCTGAGATTGCACCTCTACACTCCAGCCTGCATGACAGAGCAAGATTCTATCACACACACACAAAAGAAAGCCATTGGATGTAAATGCATGGATTATATCTGTGTTCTCCATTCTGTTCCATTTTTTATGTGCCTTTCTTTATGCCAATGTCATGCTGTTTTGCTTACTACAGCTCTGTAACATATTTCTAAGTCAGGTAGTGTGATGCTCCTGTTTTCTCTTTATACCTTCAAGTCTCAAGACAGTGGGCATCGCACACAAAAATTATGGAGAAAAGGATCCCAAGACTCCCAGGGTCCAACATTAGATAACAGAGTGTTGGCCATGAACCAACCTCAAAGATTTCCATTGAGTAGAGGACAAGCACCCTCATTTCCTCACATCTCTCCTGTCCCGTGTTCTAGGAAACCCTTCAAGTAGTTGGCCTTCACCCACAGAACCAAGCTCCAAATCTGGTGAGTAAAGGACCCCTCTTATCTCTGCTTTTGGAAACCTGGGGAGGTGGAAGCCTTGGATGCAAGTGTTGGCTCAAACCTCCCAGCTCTGTGAATGAGGGCCTGTCTTCCACCATCTCTGAACTCCAGACACTCCAACAGTGAAAGGGATCTAGGGCCACCAAAGGGCTCAGCGAAGTCTCTTTACCTTTAATTTCCTGCAGGTGAGACCTCCTACAAGCTAGAAGAATAATTGCCAATCTGACATCCTTCTCAGGAAAAATGCAGTGTTTTTTCTGCCTGCATTCCTAACTGGAGGATAAATTCCCGGGGGCTTGAGAGAGGGAAGGGAAGGGAACATCTGATGAGGGTGGGTGTTTTAGAGAAGTTCCACTTGCCAAGGAATGAATTACTGTTGGTCATCAGGCAACCCTGGCTGACTCAGCAGAGCAAGAGCCTTGCCGTAACAGAGAACAGAGCTCATGCACGCACACTTCGACTCAGTGACTCATTCAGCCACAGCCCCATGCTCAGGCTGTGCAGTGTGGAAGCTTTTCCTATTGTTGCCATAACAAATTTCCACAAGATTCGTGTGTGAAAACAAAACGGTTATTTAATTATCTTACAGTGCTGTAGCTCAAAGCATGACGTGCATGTCACTGGGCTAAAATCAAGGTGACAGCAAGGCTGCCTTCCCTCTGAGGGTTCCAGGCAAGAATCTGCTTCTCACTTTTCTCAGCTTCTAGAGGCTCCCATGTTCCTTGGCTCCTGGTACCCTTCCTCCTTCCTCAAAGCCCACAAAGACTGGTCACATCTCACATGGCATCACTCAGACCCTTCTTCCTTACCACACCTCTTTCTCTGAATGCTGCTCTCCCTTCTTGCCCTTCTTTTGAAAACTTGGGGATTCTATTGGGTTCACCAAGATGAAAATCCATCATAATCTCCCGGAAATCATCCAGGATACCCTCCTTTTAAGTTCAGCTGACTAGCAACCATAATTCCATCTGCAATCTTCATTCCTCCTTTCATGTAAAATAACATATTCACAAGCTATGGAGGCTAGGACATGGACATTTTTGGGGTGGGACAACATTCTCCTGCCTTCCACAAACAGTGAACAAGATGCATTTGGCCTCTGTTCTTGGGACACTGATCTTGCAGATGGTTAAATGGGAGGGCAGAAAATGTAGGCACAAGGGGACCAATAAATGAATGATCTATTGAGAAGCATCTGTGCATGAAATCTATTTATTTATGTATTTACCTACTTGTTTATTGAGACGGAGCCTTGCTCTGTCGTCCAGGCTAGAGTGCGGTGGCATGATCTCGGCTCACTGCAACCTCCACCTCCTGGGCTGAACTGATCTCCTCCCTCAGCCTCTCCAGTAGCTGGGATTACAGACCACAACCACCACGCCCGGCTAACTCTTTTTGCATATTTTCTGTAGAGAGGATGTTTCACCATGTTGGCCAGGCTGGTCTCAAATTCCCAACCTCAGGTGATCCAATAGCCTCTGCCTCCCAACACGCTGGGATAAGAGGCATGAGCCACGGGGCCAAGCCAAATTTTCAAATCAATAATAGATAATGCTGAGTGTATTATTTCAGGTGACAGAGAAGTTCTCACTAATCAGATATTTGTGACATTAATGAAAAACACGGATTGAACCCCTGAAAGATTGGCGGAAGGATTTTGCACACACAGCTGTCAGCCGTGAAGGCACAAAGGTGAAAACAATCTGATGTGGAAGGAAGAGGCTCTGCCTGAAATGCTGGGAATGAGGTGGGGAGAATGACAAGATGACTGTAGAGAGACGGAGAGCACACTGGGTACACAGGAAACTAAGGAGCAACAAGGAGCGTGTGTTTGACACTCACAGCCATTGGATTCACCTCGAGGTAACCAGGAATCCCTACATGATTAATATGACTGACATGAAAATAAGGGAGGCTCAGTTGCATAACTGGAATCTAGGAGACCGTGGAAAAGGCAATTGCCGCCCCACTGGTGAAATGTGGTGCTGATTTAGACACTAAATGAATGAAGTAGATGGATATAAGATATGTTTGTGAGGTAGAATCATTGGCTGGAAAGGCTTGCTGGGTTTAATTTTTCCTGGTAGTTTAATCCTCGCTTCACTAACTTATTTCTGAGATTTATTTCTCCTGCATCTAAATCAATACCTGGCAGAGGAGGGAGAGCTAGATGAGGGGTGGTGCAAATGAAGGGACCTAGTATAGCATAATATACAAGGCTGTGAACGGTGGCTCACGCCTGTAACCCAGCACTTCAGGAGGCCAACGCGGGTGGATCACATGAAGTCAGGAGTTCGAGACCAGCCTGGCCAACATGGAGAAACCCTATCTCTACTAAAAATACAAAAATTAAACAGGCATGATGGTGGTGCATGACTGTAATCCCAGCTACTCTGGAGGAGGAAGCAGGAGAATGACTTCAGCCCTGGAGGCAGAGGTTGCAGTGAGTGGAGATCGCATCACTGCACACCAGCCTGGGCTACACAGGGATACTCTGTCTCAAAAAATAAAAATAAAAAATACATAAATATAATAATATACACAAATGATGCAGGCACCTGAATTCCAATCATCATTTTTCTATTCCTCTATAATTACTTCTTTGATCCTTTATCTTATCCATTAGAAAATCAGCCTAAAACCTCTTCCATATTTGGCTTTCTGTGAACATGAGATCATATGGAAAATATGAAAGCCCCCTGAACCCACCAGCACAGGCCCTGAAATAGGGAAAGTGCTCTGTTCATCACAAGAAACTTTCCCCCTCACCCAAATCCCCCACCTCACCCCTACTTCCAATCACCTGTGGAGATACAGATAGATCATGGGGAGGTAAACGCTAATACTCCTTGGAGTGAGTTCAGATCTTGGAATCAGAGATCAGCACCAGCACTAGCTCCTGCTCCCCTTTCCTACTAATTCACAGGAGGACAGGTGGTTTTGAAGCAATAGATGGTGGAGGGGGTGGTCTTTCCCCCAGCCTCTCAGGTGGAACAGCAGCCTAACATGTGTCTCGCGAGATCACAAAGAGTAGCACGTTTCACATGGGCTTCATCATTATTTCCTGGCTGTTTGACATAAGAGAATTCTACTTTGCTTTTTTGATCTTGATTTCACTTTTGTGTCCTTTTCTTGGAGAATGTAATTTGAGTCAAGAGGGTTGTGGATGTAGAAACTGTAAAGCACATTCACTGTGTATCAATCCCAGTCCAGTCTTTCCAGAGAAGACTCTAAACACCTGCTGTACTGCACCTGGGCCTATGCCAATTTCTATCACTCACCGTCACTCCAGGGAGACAGAACACACAGAGAATACGTTACATAGGCAGGTTCATTACTAACAGATAAGCAGCGAGTGACAACAGAAGCCTACATTTCAACGTGAGCCAGTCCCTCAAGGCTCAGAAAAGCTGCTCGGGACATATGGAGTCACCTCATTTGCAGTGTATCTGGGGGAAGCCAGAAAATAGCCCAGCCTGGGTTTTGTACCCTGAAGCCACAGGAAGCACTCAGCTAAAGCACTGCATGACGTCCTCCTCCAGGAAGAACAGGAAGACAGCACAGGCTGTTCTGAGACGTTCCTCCTGATCTCAGGACGTTGCTGTCTTAGTCCATTTTTGTTGCTATAAAAGAACACTTGAGCCTGGGTTACTTCTTTTTTTTTTTTTTTTTTTTTGTATAGTGCTTCTGATGAGCTTTTTTTTAAAATTTTTATTATTATTATACTTTAAGTTTTAGGGTACATGTGCACAATGTGCAGGTTAGTTACATATGTATACATGTGCCATGCTGGTGTGCTGCACCCATCAACTCGTCATTTAGCATTAGGTATATCTCCTAATGCTATCCCTCCCCCCTCCCCCCACCCCACAACAGTCCCCAGAGTGTGATGTTCCCCTTCCTGTGTCCATGTGTTCTCATTGTTCAATTCCCACCTATAAGTGAGAACATGCGGTGTTTGGATTTTTGTCCTTGTGATAGTCTACTGAGAATGATGATTTCCAATTTCATCCATGTCCCTGCAAAGGACATGAACTCATCATTTTTTATGGCTGCATAGTATTCCATGGTGTATATGTGCCACATTTTCTTCATCCAGTCTATCATTGTTGGACATTTGGGTTGGTTCCAAGTCTTTGCTATTGTGAATAGTGCCACAATAAACATACGTGTCCATGTGTCTTTATAGCAGCATGATTTATAGTCCTTTGGGTTTATACCCAGTAATGGGATGGCTGGGTCAAATGGTATTTCAAGCTCTAGATCCCTGAGGAATCGCCACACTGACTTCCACAATGGTTGAACTAGTTTACAGTCCCACCAACAGTGTAAAAGTGTTCCTATTTCTCCACATCCTCTCCAGCACCTGTTGTTTCCCGACTTTTTAATGATCGCCATTCTAACTGGTGTGAGATGGTATCTCATTGTGGTTTTGATTTGCATTTCTCTGATGGCCAGTCATGGTGAGCATTTTTTCATGTGTTTTTTGGCTGCATAAATGTCTTCTTTTGAGAAGTGTCTGTTCATGTCCTTTGCCCACTTTTTGATAGGATTGTTTGTTTTTTTCTTGTAAATTTGTTTGAGTTCATTGTAGATTCTGGATATTAGCCCTTTGTCAGATGAGTAGGTTGCGAAAATTTTCTCCCATTTTGTAGGTTGTCTGTTCACTCTGATGGTAGTTTCTTTTGCTGTGCAGAAGCTCTTTAGTTTAATTAGATCCCGTTTGTCAATTTTGGCTTTTGTTGCCGTTGCTTTTGGTGTTTTAGACATGAAGTCCTTGTCCATGCCTATGTCCTGAATGGTAATGCCTAGGTTTTCTTCTAGGGTTTTTATGGTTTTAGGTCTAACGTTTAAGTCTTTAATCCATCTCAAATTAATTTTTGTATAAGGTGTAAGGAAGGGATCCAGTTTCAGCTTTCTACCTATGGCTAGCCAGTTTTCCCAGCACCATTTATTAAATAGGGAATCCTTTCCCCATTGCTTGTTTTTCTCAGGTTTGTCAAAGATCACATAGTTGTAGATATGTGGCATTATTTCTGAGGGCTCTATTCTGTTCCATTGATCTATATCTCTGTTTTGGTACCAGTACCATGCTGTTTTGGTTACTGTAGCCTTGTAGTATAGTTTGAAGTCAGGCAGCATGATGCCTCCAGCTTTGTTCTTTTGGCTTAGGATTGACTTGGCAATGCAGGCTCTTTTTTGATTCCATATGAACTTTAAGGTAGTTTTTTCCAATTCTGTGAAGAAAGTCATTGGTAGCTTGATGGGGATGGCATTGAATCTATAAATTACCTTGGGCAGTATGGCCATTTTCACGATCTTGATTCTTCCTACCCATGAGCATGGAATGTTCTTCCATTTGTTTGTATCCTCTTTTATTTCATTGAGCAGTGGTTTGTAGTTCTCCTTGAAGAGGTCCTTCATATCCCTTGTAAGTTGGATTCCTAGGTATTTTATTCTCTTTGAAGCAATTGTGAATGGGAGTTCACTCATGATTTGGCTCTCTGTTTGTCTGTTATTGGTGTATAAGAATGCTTGTGATTTTTGTACATTGATTCTGTATCCTGAGACTTTGTAGAGGCTGCTTATCAGCTTAAGGAGATTTTGGGCTGAGACAATGGGGTTTTCTATATATACAATCATGTCATCTGCAAACAGGGACAATTTGACTTCCTCTTTTCCTAATTGAATACCCTTTATTTCCTTCTCCTGCCTAATTGCCCTGGCCAGAACTTCCAACACTATGTTGAATAGGAGTGGTGAAAGAGGGCATCCCTGTCTTGTGCCAGTTTTCAAAGGGAATGCTTCCAGTTTTTGCCCATTCAGTATGATACTGGCTGTGGGTTTGTTATAGATGGCTCTTATTATTTTGAGATACGTCCCATCAATGCCTAATTTATTGAGAGTTTTTAGCATGAAGCGTTGTTGAATTTTGTCAAAGGCCTTTTCTGCATCTATTGAGATAGTCGTCCGGTTTTTGTCTTTGGTTCTGTTTATATGATGGATTACATTTATTGATTTGCATATATTGAACCAGCCTTGCATCCCAGAGCCTGGGCAACTTCTAGAGAAAACAGATTTGTTTGCCTCACAGTTCTGCAGGCTGTACTGGAAGCATGGCACCAGCATCTGTTTCCTGTGACGGCCTCAGGCTGCTCCCACTCTGGCAGAAGGGAAGGAGGGTCTGTCTGTGCAGAGACCACAGAGATCACATGGCAAGAGAGGGAGCAAGGGGGAGGGCGAGCGATGGAGCTTCCAAGCTCTTTTTAACAACCAGCCCTCCGGGAACTAATAGAGGGGGAACTTGCTAACCCCATCATGTGGGGCAGCATTAATCTATTCATGATGGATCCACCTCCATGACTCAAACACCTTCCCATAGGCCCAAACTTCCACACTGGGGGTTAAATTTCAATATTTCAGTGTGAGGTTTCAAAGGGTCAAACATCTAAACTAAAGCAGCTGTATCCTCAGCATGTTCTATGGTTTCTATGAGAGCTGTAACTGAGAAAGCAGGAGAAAGCTGGGTCTCCCGCCATCAGGCTGCTTGTCCTAAGGAGATGTTCCATGTGGTTACCTGTCAATCAAGAAATGAGACAATCCATAAAGAGGAACTGCTATGATTAGCTTCTTATTGGATTCCCATCTTCCTCCAGGTATCTGCAGACACCTGCATGTTCTGATTGGGACCTCAGTGGTCATCTTCCTCTTCATCCTCCTCCTCTTCTTTCTCCTTTATCGCTGGTGCTCCAACAAAAAGAGTAAGTCTCACGAAGCAGAGGCCAGAGAGCTCAGGGCCATGTGGGGAAGCAGGATGGGAGCACGCGGGTGTGTGTTCCTCACTGGCAGGATGGTCCCTGGCCCAAGGGAGGAGCCACAGAGGCAGGGCTTTCTAGAGAGAGCACCAGACAACCTGCCCCTGCCTTCAGCTCACAGACCATTGCCTGGTTCTGAACTGTATCCTCACATCCCCTGCAGCCACTGACATCCAGAAGCTTCCATGACAGGCAGAAAGTGGGAGACAGAATCAATGGGATGCCAATTGAGAGCACTTCATGGGATGGGGTCTTGAACTCAGAGAGATAGAATGTCTGAGTCTGGATGTTGGCAGCTGAAGAGCCTCAGGCACCTACAGCCTCCCCCTGTGGGTTGGTGTCTGCCCATGAAATGAGGACCCAGAAGGGCCCTCCAAGCGGTTTTGATGACTTCCGTCTCCTACAGATGCTGCTGTAATGGACCAAGAGCCTGCGGGGGACAGAACAGTGAATAGGCAGGTAGGTCCTCCTCGGCCCAGCCTCACGGATACAGTCTTATCCCTAATAGTCCTGAAAAATGTGAGCACCCTCCCTCACTCAGCATTTCCCTCTCTCCAGGACTCTGATGAACAAGACCCTCAGGAGGTGACGTACGCACAGTTGGATCACTGCGTTTTCATACAGAGAAAAATCAGTCGCCCTTCTCAGAGGCCCAAGACACCCCTAACAGATACCAGCGTGTACACGGAACTTCCAAATGCTGAGCCCAGATCCAAAGTTGTCTCCTGCCCACGAGCACCACAGTCAGGTCTTGAGGGGGTTTTCTAGGGAGACAACAGCCCTGTCTCAAAACCAGGTTGCCAGATCCAATGAACCAGCAGCTGGAATCTGAAGGCATCAGTCTGCATCTTAGGGGATCGCTCTTCCTCACACCACGAATCTGAACATGCCTCTCTCTTGCTTACAAATGCCTAAGGTCGCCACTGCCTGCTGCAGAGAAAACACACTCCTTTGCTTAGCCCACAAGTATCTATTTCACTTGACCCCTGCCCACCTCTCCAACCTAACTGGCTTACTTCCTAGTCCTACTTGAGGCTGCAATCACACTGAGGAACTCACAATTCCAAACATACAAGAGGCTCCCTCTTAACACGGCACTTACACACTTGCTGTTCCACCTTCCCTCATGCTGTTCCACCTCCCCTCAGACTATCTTTCAGCCTTCTGTCATCAGTAAAATTTATAAATTTTTTTTATAACTTCAGTGTAGCTCTCTCCTCTTCAAATAAACATGTCTGCCCTCATGGTTTCGATAATGTGACTCTTTATTCGCCAAAAGTTTCCAGTGTTATCATTACTATGTCCATATAACCTGATATGTTCTCTACTGGGTTCTCAGCCCTGGACTCTGAGCTTCTGGAAGCAGGGTGGAGCCTCATTTGTCTCTGGGACTCCAATTTCCATCCAAAGATGCAGCACATAGGAGGTTCCAAGGATCGTGAATCACATGAACAAGTGATATTCTTACTCTCTGCAGACCTGGAAAGCTGGCAGAGTCATTCCAAGATGAAACATTTGTAGAGTCATAGGCCTTGTTAGTCTCATCTCCACAGGGACACATGTCAACACATCATCTTTCATACTATAAATATACAGTCGCTCCTCCATATCTGTGGGGTTTACAGGTGTTTATTGAACCAAATATAAATCAAAAATATTCAGAGAAAAAATCCACAAAGTTCCAAAAAGCAAAAATACTATATTGTGTGGACACAAGTGAGGTGGTGTGTAGGCTGTATCAGGAATTATAAGTAATCTAGAGATGATTTCATGTATACAGGAGGATGTGCATGGGTTATATGCAAACGCTGTGCCATTTCATGCAACAGGCTTGAGCATCTGCAGATTTTGGTGTCTGGTAGGGAGGGGGGTTTCCTGGAACCAATCACCCATGAATAGTGAAGGACAACTGTATATAATTTTCATTCATCAATTTTATAAATAAATCATCAAAATGTATGATAATAAGATAAAAAATTAGCAGTGTTTTTATGGTGTGAAAATAAGCTTAGATTTATTTTTTCCTGCTTGTAACCCTCTGGTCCAATGTTATTTACTGAGAAGACATTCTATTCCACCTTAATCCGCATGGCAGCCTCTGTCAACTATAAAAGGACTGTGTGTACACAGATGTATTTTACACACTCTTTTCTGCTCAGTGGCTCTCTGTGTCCACTCTCATGAGGATGCTGCACTTTATGTGGCCTTATAGAACCCCTTAAAATTTGGCAGCCTGAATCCTCTAATTTCTCCTTCCTCTTTAAGATTGCCATTATTATTATTATTGGCTATTTGCTTTTCCATGTAAATTTGTAATCATTTTTCTCATTTCCACCAAAAACAATGCTTGTAATTTTGTTGTGACTCCCTTACATCTACAGGTAAGTTCTGTCCTATAGAAACATAATGCAAACCACATGCATTCTTTCAAACTTGCTAGTATCCAAATTAAAAAGCTAACAAGAAACAGATAAAATTAATTTAAGTTAACCCAATGGACCCAAAATATTATTAACCCAACAGACCCAAAATATTAACCTAATAGATCCAAAATATTATTTTATTATACAAGTAGACTCAAAATATTATCATTTCAACATGTAATCATGTGTCATCTTGGAAAACATCAGATCCCTGTCTAGGTGGGCAAAGATTTTTCTTCGTAATATCTCATTTCCACATTTCCACTTGGCACAGAAACTGCCCCCAAGGCTCAGGATACTAAGATGCAGTAGGAATGGGTAGATGTATCTGGAGGAAAGTGACTGAATGAAATTGAGACATCAGAGTCTGGGAAACTCACTAGAACTACAGGGACAGTGTGGGGGAGGGAATTGGGAGATGTTGATCAAAGGATACAAACTATCAGGTATTCAGGAGGAATGGGTCTGAAGATCTCTTGTACAGCTTTGCCACTATGGTTGACAATACTGTACTCTATACTTGAAATTTACCAGGAAAGTAGATTTTTTTTTTTAAATATGGAACACTTCACGAATTTGCGTGTCATTCTTGCGCAGGGGCCATGCTAGTTTTCTCTGTATCGTTCCAATTTTAGTATATGTGCTGCCGAGGCAAGCATGGGAGAGTAGATTTTTTTTTTTTTTTTTTTTTTGAGCTGGAGTCTTGCTCTGTCACCCAGGCTGGAGTGCAGTGGCGCGATCTCGGCTCACCGCAAGCTCCGCCTCCTGGGTTCACGCCATTCTCCTGCCTCAGCCTCCCGAGTAGCTGGGACTACAGGCGCCCGCCACCACGCCCTGCTAATTTTTTGTATTTTTAGTAGAGACGGGGTTTCACTGTGTTAGCCAGGATGGTCTCGATCTCCTGACCTCGTGATCCGCCTGCCTCGGCCTCCCAAAGTACTGGGATTACAGGCATGAGCCACCACGCCCGGCTGGGAGAGTAGATCTTAAGGGTCCTCACCACAAAAAAAAAAAAAAGAAAGAAAGAAAAAGAAACCATAGGCCGGGCGCGGTGGCTCACGCCTGTAATCCCAGCACTTTGGGAGGCCAAGACGGGCAGATCACTTGAGGTCAGGAGTTCAAGACCAGCATGGCCAACATGGTGAAACCCTGTCTCTACTAAAAATGCAAACATTAGCCAGGCGTGGTGACACAAGCCTGTAATCCCAGCTACTCAGGAGGCTGAGGCACGAGAATTGCTGGAACCTGGGAGCGGAGGTTGCAGTGAGCCAAGATGGCACCACTGCACTCTAGCCTGGGGGACAGAGTAAGACTTCCTCTCAAAAAAAAAAAAAAAAAAAAAACAATAACCCTGCGAGATGATGGATATAACTAGCTTGACTATGATGATCATGTCACCATGTATACATACATCAAAACATCAAGTGTAATACACCTTAAATATATACAATTTCCATTTGTCAATCATATCTCAATAAAGCTAAAAGAAACCTCTAAGTTTCAACTTTATTTTCAGAAAGCTGTGCCATGCTTACCTCAGTGCCTAAGTATACTCTAATTCATGGAAATGGCCTTTAAAACTGCAGAGAGTGGCTGGGTGCAGTGGCTCACGCCTATAATCCCAGCACTTTGGGAGGCGGAGGTGGGCAGATCACGAGGTCAGGAGTTCGAGATCAGCCTGGCCAACATGGTGAAACTCTGTCTCTACTAAAAATACAAAAAATAGCTGGGCATGGTGGCAGGTGCCTGTAAATCTGAGATACTCAGGAGGCTGAGACAGGAGAATCGTTTGAACTGGGGAGGCAGAGGTTGCAGTGAGCCGAGATCCTGCCATTGCACTCCAGCCTGGGCGACAGGGTGAGACTCCATCTCAAAAAAAAAAAAAATACTGCAGAGAGTTAAGGCCCTCACTGGACACTCTCCGGTACCTCTGAGGTCAGTGGATAGAGAAGCAGCTCCCCTTCTTCTTCCTCGAAACAAAGGCCTCCTTCCTTCTTAGGTGTTTGAGACAAATTCTCCACACAGGTGCAGCTGAGTGCTGTAAAGTCCCACTGAGAGTTGAAGGTCCCCACTGCCAGTCACAGTTCGGTCCCACTGAGGGTTGAAGGTCCCCACTGCCAGTCACAGTTTGGTCCCATTGAGGGTTGAGAGTCTCCACTGCCAGTCACAGTTTGGTCCCATTGAGGGTTGAGAGTCTCCACTGCCAGTCAGTTTGGGCTTATTAGGGTTTATGCTGTGCACGGAGAATGGAACCTACCAATCAACTCTTAGTGACCAGTTAGACAGATTCAAGGCAAATTTCCCTGCTGGGAAATCCCAAATCCCAAAATATGCAGAGACCAATAGATGCCTCAATTCTTCCGTGTCTCCGTCTAAATCCTTGGGTCACTGTGACTCCTGTAGTTATGTGGCTTGTAATTCCTTGGGCCGTAGAATGGCTATGATAGGCCCTGTGCTAAGGGGACTGGTGACAGTTGAGACAGGAACATGGAAGCTATAGTAGTCAGGGTTCTCCAGAAAAAAAAATAATCAACACTAATAATGATAGATATATAGATAATGATTGATAGACAAATAATGATAGATATATAATGATATCACAAATAATGATAGACATATAGTTGGATAATGACAGATATATAATGATTGATACACAGATAGGGTATTTATATATTGGCTTATGCAACTATGTAGACTGACAGGTCCCATGATCTGCCATCTGCAAGCTGGAGACCCAGGGGAGTCCACGTGTAGTTCCAGTCTACGTGCAAAAGTCTGAGAACCAGTAGAGTTAGTGGTATACGTAACAGTCCAAAAGCTAGCAGGCTCATGCCGGGCATGATGGCTCACGCCTGTAATCCCAACACTTTGGGAGACCAAGGCAGGCAGATCACCTGAGGTCAGAGTTCAAGACCAGCCCGGCCAACATGGTGAAACCCCATCTTTACTAAAAATACAAAAATTAGCCGGGCATAGTGGCATTCGCTTGTAATCCCAGCTACTCAGAGGCTGAGGTACGAGAATTGCTTGAACCCAAGAGGTGAAGGTTGCAGTGAGCCGAGATCATGCCACAGCACTCCAGCCTGGGTGACAGAGTGAGACTCTATCTCAAAAAAACAAACAAACAAAAAAAGCTGGCAGGCTTAACATCTAAAGAGTCAATGTTTTAGTGAGAGTTCAAGAGCCAGAAAAGACTGATGTCCAGGCAAAAGGAACTTCATCTTACATTACCAGTTCAATGTTTTGTTCTATTCAGGTCCCACCTGATTGAATGAGGCCGACTCACATTAGGGAGAGCAATCTGCTTTATAAATTACACTAATTCCATTGATAATCTCATTCAGCAACACCCCCACAGACACACACAGAATAATGTTTAACCAAATATCTCAGCACCCCATGGCTACGTTACCATTCCTGTTCCACAAAAGGAGGAAACAAAAGAACAAAACCACACCAAATGTTGTGGTAAGTTGACAAAATCTGTTCCAGCCCATTAGTAAATATTGGCCACTGAAGTTCCTGAAATTCAACAATTAGTAAGTATCTCTCTCCCAATAGAAAGCCACGTCATTTGTAAACCATAACAATAGCTTTTGTTTTTTTGAGACACAGTCTCGCTCTGTGTTGCCCAGGCTGGAGTGCAGTGATCTTGGCTCACTGCAACCTCTGCCTCCTGGGTTCAAGTGGCTCTCCTGCCTCAGCCTTCCGAGTAGCTGGAATTACAGGCACCCGCCACCACACCCAAGTAATTTTTTATATTTTTAGTAGAGACTGGGTTTCACCACATTGACCAGGCTGGTCTTAAATTCCTGAACTCAAGTGATTCACCTGCCTTGGCCTCCCAAAGTGCTGGGATTACAGGCATGAGCTACTGCACCCAGCCAACAATAGTATTTTTAATTAGGTCATCCTGCCTTTACAATCTCTGCATTTTAAATACTCAACTAAGAGTACAGCCATTATTTGTCTTTCACCCAAAGTCCCATTCAAGTGAGAACAAAGGAATGAATAAATAAGGCATAAGTAACAAAACAACAAAAAAAGAAAATTAGAATGCGGTCAATTTCATGCAATCATCAACACCAAATTTCCAGAACGTAGTATTTCCAAATTTCCCGAACGTAAATATGTATGTGGAAATTAACAAAATGTGGCAAAACAAAAGGTCACTTAAATTTGCACAAATGAAACAGTCAACATGGAAGCTGATCGGCTTTCTGAAATATGGGACAAGCTCAGGACTTCAAAATACTTCGGCGTTGGAAGGGCTAAGTTATGATGTATTAAAATGAAAATAAAGTGGGGCGCGGTGGCTCACGCCTGTAATCCCAGCACTTTGGGGGACCGAAGTGGGTGGATCACGAGGTCAGGAGATCGAGACCATCCTGGCTAACACGGTGAAACCCCGTTTCTACTGAAAATACAAAAAAAATTAGCCGGGCGTGGTGGCGGATGCCTGTAGTCCCAGCTACTCGGGAGGCTGAGGCAGGAGAATAGCATGAACCCAGGAAGTGGAGCTTGCAGTGAGCTGAGATCACGCCACTGCACTCCAGCCTGGGCGACAGAGCAAGACTCCGTCTCAAAAAAAAAAAAAGAATAAATAAAATAAAATAAAATAGTAGAAGGTTTAATTAGGAATATTTCACTCTCCATACCTGAAGAATTCGTGATAGCCAGGAGTCTACAATCAAAATAACATAAATAATAAGATAAAAATAAAATTAATTTGAAGCCATAAAAAAAGAATGAGTTCATATGTTTTGTGGAAACATGGATGGAGCTGGAGGCCATTATCCTTAGCAAACTATACAAGAACAGAACACCAAATACAGCAGGTTCTCACTTATAAGTGGAAGCTAAATAATAGAACTCATGAACACAAAAAAGGGAAAAACAGACAATGGGGTCTCCTTTAGGGTGGAGGGTGGGAGGCGGGAAAGGAGCAGGCAAAGTAACTATTAGGTACCAAGCTTATTACCTAGGTGATGAAATAATCTGTACAACAAACCCCCATGACACAAGTTTACCTGTATAACAAACCTTCCCATGTACCCTTGAACCTAAAATAAAAGTTAAAAAAATACTCAATGAGCAACAATGTACATTATTTGAGGATAATTATATTAAAAGCCCAGACTTCACCACTACACAAAATATCCACGTAATAAAATTTCACTTGCGCTCCTTAAATTTATACAAATAAACAAAAAAGTATAATAAAATAGTAGATTCTTTCTTTAGAGATGACAAATAGTGCCAGAGAAAATGCCTCCACACTCTGGCATTGAGATCATCTCCAGGATAAGGGTATACTGCATGCCTGGTCAAGTCCAAGTAAATATACTCAGACCATGAATCTCAGAGATGAAACATAGGTTCAGAACAGACAAAGCCACAGAGCTTTTGACTAATGGCCCAGTGAAGGCAATGTCTGCCTGTATGGTATCCACCACCTTATATTCTGTCCCAAGCCCGTCTATTTGGATGTAGCATCTGGTTCAAAGATGAATTTGAACACCATTAGACACTGGCTTAATGAAAATTCACTTCTCATTCGTTTCTCATCTGAAACATAAATAGAAATATAGGTCTTAGGCAGGAGGATTTCTTGATGCCAGAAGTTAGAGACTACCCTGGCCAACATAGAAAGACCCCATCTCTATTTAAAAAAATATACATATATATGTCTTCTCTTGGGCTCCACCCAAGAGCAACCTGGAACTAAGTTATTCGGCAACGAACTGTTCCACTTTGTTGTGAGGCAATAGATGTGGAAATTCCCTGACGAGGGGCTCTGTCCTCATACTTCCTGCGGAGCTTATTGTCGTAAGAATATCTGTCATCCTGCTAATGTGCATTGAAAGGAGAGCAACGGGGCTGAGGCCGTGTCAGCACGATGGACCCCAAACAGACCACCCTCCTGTGTCTTGGTGAGTTTCAGAGTAAAAGTGGGTTAGAGGGGAAGATAGAGAAATCCCAAAATAATCAGGGTGTCTCTTAACAGTGTGACTAGGAGATTTTAGTGGCTGCCAAGGAGATTCTGATCTCCTTAGTGGAAAGGCCGTCTTTGTCAATGTATCTATAACTTTGTCTCTACCCAAGCCCAAGCTAGCTTGTGGGGCTCAAGGTTTAATATTTGTATTAAACCTATAGTGTGTTATCTGGGATTCATGATGGTCCCAAGGTTCTTATCAAGGAGAGACTTAGAGGCTGGAATCTGAAAGGTAAAAATAAAGAATGAACCTCAAAACTGTGATTGTTGTGGAAGGAAAACATATGATAGAACCCCATATAGAAATATGGTTACTAGTATTTTGTTGAAGATTTTTGCATTTATGTTCAACAAAGATATTATCCAGAAGTTTTCTGTTTTTGTTGTATCTCTGCCACATTTTGTTATCAGGATAATGTTGGCCTCATAGAATGAGTTGGGGAGGAGTCCCTCCTCCAGGATTTTTTTCAATAGTTTCAGTAGGAATAATACTAGCTCTTCTTGGCCGGGCGCAGTGGCTCACACCTGCAATCCCAGCACTTTGGGAGGCCAAGGCAGGCGGATCACAAGGTCAGGAGATCAAAACCATCCTGGCCAACATGGTGAAACCCTGTCTCTACTAAAAATACAAAAAAATTAGCCAGGCGTGGTGGCGGGCGCCTGTAGTCCCAGCTACTCGTGCGGCTGAGGCAGGAGAATGGCATGAACCTGGGAGGCAGAGCTTGCAGTGAGCCAAGATCATGCCACTGCACTCCAGCTTGGGCGACACAGCGAGACTCTGTCTCAAAAAAAAAAAAAAATGCCAGCTCTTCTTTATATATCTGGTGGGATTGAGCTGTGAATCCATCTGGTACTGGTCTTTTTCTGGTCTGTCATTACAGAGGGTGATTTGTCGTAAAGGTTGGAAATGGAAGCTTGATTTTTCATAAATCTCTCTCTTCCAGTGCTCTGTCTGGGCCAGAGGATTCAGGCACAGGAAGGTAAGTGTCCTGTAAATCTCTCCCAGCCCCTTTAGACCCTCTTGGGAGCTCTAGGATAAAGAAATTGAAGAATAGCCTGAAGCACCATTCTTATTTTAATCCCCATTCTAGTTGTTTCTGCTGTGCTTCTCTTGCATAATTTCTATCTCACTTTGTTATCTCCAAACCCTTCAGACTCATTAATGCTCAGGCCTGGATTTATAGTTAGTCCTTGCCTGTGTTAGACTGTCCATGAAGGATCTGTAATTTACTGAATGCTCAAACTGCAAGAATGAGGAAGTCAGGAGTCATCTGCCCAATATCCTTCCTTATGCTGATTCTATTTTGTTTTAGCAACCCACTTCCTCCCGTCACTTCATTTAAAAGGATGCTGCCATAGTCTAACCCTACTGAACACTCTAGCATTCTGTAGTACTACTGCAGTACTAAGCATGAGGCAGTCTTAGTGTACTACTGAATATTCTGCCACCCCAACTACTACTGCCTTAGCCTCCTAATGGGTGTGAGCCCCACGTCCATCCATGTCTTCTCTCTTCCAGCTCCTTCTAAAGCCTGAATTATTTGTGTGTTGAACAATACTCATTCTTCCTATCCATGAGCATGGAATGTTTTTCCATTTGTTTGTGTCATCTATGATTTCTTTGACCAGTGTTTTGTAGTTCTCCTTGCAGAGATCTTTCACCTCCCTGGTTAGCTGTATTCCCAGGTATTTTATTCTTTTTGCAGTAATTGTGAATGGATTCTATTCTTGATTTGGCTCTCAGCTTAGATGTTTTTGGTGTATAGGAATGCTACTGATTTTTATATATTGATTTTGTATCCTGGAACTTTGCTAAAGTTGTTTATCAGATTAAGAAGTGTTTGGGCAGAGACTGTGGTTTTCTAGGTATAGAATCATATCACCTGCAAACAGGGATAGTTTGACTTCCTTTCTTCCTATTTGGATGCCTTTTATTTCTCTCTTGCCTGATTGCTCTAGCTAGGACCTCCAGTACTATGTTGAACAGAAGTAGTGAGAGACGGCATCCATGTCTTTTGCCAGTTTTCAAGGGGAATACTTCCAGCTTTTGCCCATTCAATATGATGTTGACTGTGAGTTTGTCATACATCATTCTTATTATTTTGAAATATGTTTCTTCAATGCCTAGTTTGTCGAGGTTTTTTAGCATAAAGGGATGTTGAATTTTATCAAAAGCTCTATTGAGAGGATTATGTGTGTGGGGAGGGTTGTTCTATTTATGTGATGAATCATATTTAAGATTTGTGTATATTGGCCGGGCACTGTGGCTCATGCCTGTAATCCCAGCACTTTGGGAAGCCAAGGCTTGTGGATCATGAGGTCAGGAGATCGACACCATCCTGGCTAACACGGTGAAACCTCGTCTATACTAAAAAACACAAAAAAATTAGCCAGGCGTGGTGGTGGGCACCTGTAGTCCCAGCTGCTCGGGAGGCTCAGGCAGGAGAATGGCGTGAATCCAGGAGGCGGAGCTTGCAGTGAGCCAAGTTCACGCCACTACACTCCAGCCTGGGCAACAGAGCGAGACTCCTATATCGAATCAACCTTGCATCCCAGAAATAAAGCCTACCTGATGGTGGTGGATTAGCTTTCTGATGTGCTGCTGGATAGTTTGCTAGTATTTTGTTGAGGATTTTTGCATTTATGTTCAACAAGGATATTGTCCTGAAGTTTTCTGGTTTTGTTGTGTCTCTGCCATGTTTTTGCATCAAGATGATGCTGGTCTCATAGAATGAGCTGGGGAGGCATTCCTCCTCCTGAATATTTTTGGAACGTTTCAGTAGGTATAGTACCAGCTCTTCTTTATATATCAGATGGGATTCAGCTGTGAGTCTGTCTGGTACTGGGCTTTTTCTGGTCTGTAGGATTTTTATTACTGATTCAATTTTGGAGCTCATTATTGGTCTGTTCATGTATTCAATTTATTCTTGGTTTGATCTCAGGAGGGTGTATGTGTCCAGGAATTTCTCCATTTATTCTGGATTTTCTAGTTTGTGTGCATAGAGGTGTTCATAATATTCTCTGATGATTGTATTTCTGTGGGGTGAGTGGTAATATACCCTTTGTTGTTTCTAATTGTGTTTATCCGGATCATCTCTCTTTTCTTCTTTATTAGTCTAACTAGTCATCTGTCTTACTAATTTTTTCAAAAATTCTACTCCTCGATTTGCTGATCTTCTGAATGCTTTTTCGTGTCTCAATCTCCTTCAGCTCAGCTCTGATTTTGGTTATTTCTTGTTTCCTATGAGCTTTGGGGTTGATTTCCTCTTGGTTCTCTTAGTTCCTCTTGTTATGATGTTAGGTTGTTAATTTGAACTTTTTCTAGCTTTTTGAAGTGGGAGTTTAGTGCTATAAACTTCCCCCTTAACACTGCCTTAGCTGTGTCCCAGAGATTCTGCTATATTTACCCAAAAATTCCAGAACAGACTGCTTAATTTCCATGCATTGTACAGTTTTGAGTGGTTTTCTTAGTATTTATTCCTATTTTTATTCCACTGTGCTCTGATTTCGCTTTTCTGGATTTGCTAAGGATTGTTTTTTTTTTTTTTGAAATGGAGTCTTGCTCTGTCGCCCAGGCTGGAGTGCAGTGGCGCAATCTAGGCTCACTGCAAGCTCCGCCTCCCAGGTTCACACCATTCTCCTGCCTCAGCCTCCTGAGTAGCTGAGACTACAGGTGCCCGCCACCCCGCCCGGCTAATTTTTTTTGTATTTTTAGTAAAGACGGGGTTTCACTGCGTTAGCCAGGATGGTCTCGATCTCCTGACCTCATGATCCGCCAGCCTTGGCTTCCCAAAGTGCTGGGATTACAGGTGTGAGCCACCGTGCCCAGCCTGCTAAGGATTGCTGTATGTCTGATTGTATGATTGACTTTAGAGTATGTGCCATGAGGCAATGAAAACAATGTAGATTCTGTTGTTTTGGGGGTGGAGAGTTCTGTAGATGTCTGTCAGGTCCATTTGATCCACTGCTGAGTTCAGGTCCTGAATATCTCTGTTTGCCTCAATGATCTAATACTGTCGGCGGGATGTTAAAGTCTCCCCCTATTATTGTGTGGTTGTCTAAGTCTCTTCGTTGGTCTCTCAGAACACGCTTTATGAATCCGGGTGCTTCCATGTTAGGTGCATATATATTTAGGATAGTTAGGTCTTCATGCTCTTTTTTTAATTTTTTTTTTCTTTTTCTTTTTGATTCAGCAGTTGGGCTATTACACACTCCTTAGCAGATTCCGACTTCCGTGGCCACTGTCCTGCTATGGTCTTCATGTTGAATTGAACCCTTTACCATGATTTAATGCCCTTCTTTGCCTTTTTTGATCTTTGTTGGTATAAAGTCTGTTTTGTCTGAAATTTTAATAGCAGCTCCTGCATTTTTTTTTTTTTTTGGCTTTCCATTTGCTTGGTAGATTTTTCTCCATTTCTTTACTTTGAGCCTATGGATGTCATTGCATATGAGATGGGTTTCTTATAGGCAGCATAATGTTGAGTCTTGCTTTTTTTTTTTTTTTTTTTTTTGAGATGGAGTCTCACTCTGTCACCCAGGCTGGAGTGCAGTGGTATGATCTTGACTCACTGCAACTTCTGCCTCCCAGGTTCAAATGATTCTCCTGCCTCAGCCTCCCAAATAGCTGGGATTACAGGTGTGTACCACCACGCCCAGCTATTTTTTTTTTTTATTAGAGATGGGATTTCATCACATTGGCCAGGCTAATGTCGAACTCCTGACCTCAAATGATCCACCCACCTCAGCCTCCCAAAGTGCCAGGGTTACAGGCGTGAGCCACTGCACCTGGCCTCTTGCTTCTTTATCCAACTTGCCACTCTCTGCATTTTAATTAGGACAATTAGTCCATTTACATTCAAAGTTAGCATTTACATGTGCAGATTTTTTCCTGTCATCATGTTGTTAGCTGGTTTGGTTATTATGCAGACTTGTTTGTGTGGTTGTTTTATAGTGTCACTGGTTTATGTACGTAAGTGTGTTTTCTATTGGCTGGTGATGGTCTTTTCTTTCCATATTTAGCGTTCCTCTTAGGACCTCTTGTAAGGCAGGCCTGATGGTAATAAATTCCCTCAGCATTTGCTTGTCTGTAAAGGATCTTATTTCTCCTTCACTTATGAAACTTAGTTTGGCTGGGAATGAGATTCTTGGTTGGAAATTCTTTTCATAAGAACATTAAATATAGGCCCCCAATCTCTTCTGGATTGTAGAGTTTCTGCTGAAAGGTCTGCTGTTAGCTCGATGGCATTCCCTTTGTAGGTGACCTGCCCCTTCTTTTTTGCTGCCTTTTCACATTTTTTTTTTTTTTTTTGAGACTGAGTCTTGCTCTGTTGCCCAGGCTGCCAGGCTGGAGTGCAATGGCGTGATCTCGGCTCACTGCAAGCTCCGCCTCCCGGATTCACGCCATTCTCCTGCCTCAGCCTCCCCAGTAGCTGGGACTACAGGTGCCCACCACCACGCCCAGCTAATTTTTTATATTTTTTTAGTAGAGATGGGGTTTCACCATGTTAGCCAGGATGGTCTCAATCTCCTGACCTCGTGATCCGCCCGCCTTGGTCTCCCAAAGTGCTGGGATTACAGGCGTGAGCCACCGCGCCCGGCCGACATTTCTTTCTTTCATTTCTACCTTGAAGAATCTGATGATTTTGTGTCTTGGGGATGCTCTTCTTGTGTAGTATTTTGCAGGGGTTCTCTGTTTCCTGCATTTGATTCTTGGCCTCTCTAGTGACGTTGGGGAAGTTTTCATGAACAATACACTGAAATATGTTTTCCATGTTCCTTGCTTTCTCCCCATCTCTTTCGGGGATGCCAATGGGCTATTTGGTCTCTTTTCATGATCCCATATTTCTTAGAGGTTTTGTTCATTAATTTTTATTCTTTTTCTTCATTTTTGTCTGACTGAATTAGTTCAGAGAGCCAGTATTCATGCTCTGAGATTCTTTCCTTATTTTGCTTTATTTTGCCATTAATACTTGTGATCGCATTATGAAATCTCGTAGTGTGTTTTTCAGCTCCATCAGATCCGTTTGGTTCTTTCAAAATGACCATCTCATAGATTAGCCCCTCTGTCATTTTATTGTAATCTTTAGGTTCCTTGCATTGGGTTTCAACTTTCTCCTGAATCTTGATGACCTTAATTTCTATCCATATTCTGAATTCTATTTCTGTCATTTCAGCCAGGTAAAGAGCCCTTGCTGGGAAGCTTGTGTGGTAATTTGGAGGAAGGAAGACACTGTTGCTTTTTGAGTTGATGGAGTTCTTGCTCAGTTCTTTCTCATCCATGTGGGCTAATGTTCCTTTGAGTGTGCTGCAATTTGAATTTTTTTCTTTTTTCTTTTAACCGTGATGTAATTTGAGCACAGTCAGTAGACTTCTTTTCTGGATGGTTTCAGAGGGCTGGGGCTTCGCACAGGGTCTTTATTTATAGCTAAATTCTTGTCCTTGGTTTCACAGGGAGGTATATTAGCGAGCATTTTTGGTGTTGAAGTTTGGGCTGCAATCCGGTAAATGATGCTTCAGCACAACGGCCAGTAGGTCATTCCTCATGATTGCCGCTGTGCTCCCTCTCACGCTCTGAAAGTGCGGGCTCCTCTCCCACCCAAGTGCTGGCTGCAGATCTGGGCTCGGCACTCCCAGGCTGCACATCACAGCTCTGGGGTGAGCTCAGACTTTATGTTCCCTCCGTGGCTTGGGGGCAGCAGGGGAAGGGACCTTAGCAGCGGTTGTGGCAGACGGCCTTTCACTTGTCCCTTGGAACTCCACCCCAGAGAGATGTGGAGCCACTATCAGTGCGATGAGCCAAGAGTGAGGCGACTGCACTGTGGGTCCAAGCTAGGGGCCCTGCCTAGTGATGAGCAGGGGGGACAGGTGGGTCACAGGGGTGACAGACTGGCCTCTTCTCCTTAGGGCAGTTTGCCGGAGGTGTGGTTGAAGCACTCAGAGTCTTTGCTCCTTCCCCAGTCTGAGGGCAGCAAGGCCAGTACCACCGCAGTGGCAGCGGCAGAGTGACCTTCCGTTGCCTCTGGGAGCTCCGCCACAGAGAAACGCAGACTCACAGCTGCTGGGAACGCTCCGCCAGAGGGTGGGGCTGTTGTGCCGCGGAATCAAGCTGGGGCTTGTTGAAGAGCAGGGGGTTGAGGGCTCACAGGGAGAGGAGACTGAGCTCCTCTCCGTATGGCGACTGCGGTGTGCTGGAAGCATGAATGAAGGCCGGGCGCGGTGGACTCACGCCCGGAATCCCAGCACTTTGGGAGGCCGAGGCGGGCGGATCACGAGGTCGGGAGATCGAGACCATCCTGGCTAATCTGGTGAAACCCCGTCTCTACTGAAAACACAAAAAATGAGCCGGGCGTGGTGGCGGGCGCCTGTAGTCCCAGCTACTCGGGAGGAGGATGAGGCTGAGGCAGGAGAATGGTGTGAACCCGGGAGGCGCAGCTTGCAGTGAGCCGAGATCGGGCCACTGCACTGCAGCGTGGGCGACAGAGCGAGACTCCGTCTCAAATAAATAAATAAATAAATAAATAAATAAATAAATAAATAAATAAATAAATTGAAGCATGAATGAAGGCCCCAGGCTCCTTGCTTCTTCCCCAGATCACGGGCAGCAGAGGCAGAACCCTTGCCATGGCAGTGGCAGAGGGGCTGTCAGTTGCCTCTGGGAGCCACTCCCCAGGGAAACACGAGCCACCACCAGTGAGTGTGCTGAGGGCGGGGCAGCTGCTCTGCACTCCCGAGCTGGGGGCTCTGCCTGGTAAAGTGGGGGTGGGAGCTCACGGGGAAGAGAGACTGGACTCCTCTCTGTCTGATGGCTGTGGCATAATGACCGGGCCCCCACACATGAAAAAGAATTCTGGGAACTCAAAAAGCCAGTGTGTCCCCACCATGGACCCCTTGGATTGTGTTTCAAATTTCTCCTCAATTTCGAAGAGCGTCCTGGCCATCCAGATTCTGAATTCTATAACCCTCGTTTCATTCATCTCAATGTAGCTAAGAACCAGATTTCTGGGGAACTATCGAGTTGCCAGAGTTCTTGTGTTGATTCTTTTTTTTTTTTCTTTTTTTTTTCTTTTTTGTGGCAGAGTCTTACTCTGTCGCCCAGGCTGGAGTGCAGTGGCACGATCTCAGCTCACTGCTGCAACCTTCACCTCCCGGGTTCAAGCGATTCTCCTGTCTCAGCCTCCTGAGTAGCTGGGATTACAGGTGTGTGCCACCACGCCCGGCTAATTTTTGTATGTTTAGTAGAGCCCGGGTTTTGTCACGTTGGTCAGGCTGGTCTCAAACTCTTGACCTCCGGTGATCTGCCCACTTCAGCCTCCCAAAGTGCTGGGATTACAGGTGTGAGCCACCGCGCCCGGCCTTGGTGTTGATTCTTTCTCTTGTGTGAGGGCTGGTGTTCCTTTAACTGTGATGTCGGTTGAGTACAGTCGCTTGGCTTCATTTCTGGGTGTTTTCAGATGCCAGGACTCTGCACAGGATCTTTATTTGTGGCTGAATTTTTCCCTTCATTGTATACTGGCAAAATTTTTCAGTGTTGTATTTTGAAGTGTGATCCAGTAGGTGGCACTTAAAAGGGTTGGCCAGCATACAGGATCTTAGCCACAAGGCTCTTTTGTAGTTTTGTTTCGTTTTTTGTTTCGTTTTTTGACACAGGGTCTTGTTCTGTCGCCCAGGCTGGAGCACAGTGGCACAATCTCGGCTCACTGCAGCCTCTACCTATCAGGCTAAGTGATCCTCCTGCCTCAGCCTCCTGAGTAGCTGGGACTACAAGCACGCAGCACCATAAAGAGAAAATTTTTGTAATTTTTTTTTTTTTTTTGTAGAGATGGGGTTTCACCATGTTTACCAGGCTGGTCTCAAACTCCTGGGCTCAAGCAATCTGCCTGCCTTGGCCCCCTAACTCTTGTATTTTGACAAAGTCGGCAGTAGTGCTCTGTGGTTGTGAGGAGGGGTGACTCCCTCGCCTGGTCCATTCTTGGGCCTTGGAGGAGCCTCCTACAGTCACTGGCTCTGCACCCACTGTTTCCTTTGTTAGGATTGTTCTGCCCACGGGGCTCCCTCAGGCAGGGCATGGTGGGCAGACAGGCTGTATCCTTCCCCGGCCAGCCCTATGGAGGGAGGACCACCCCGCACCTCTGCAGGCTGATGAAATCAGGTGTTTCACCCCTCTGAACGTTCTGAGAATGAGGGCTCCTCACGGCTTGGTCGCCACCTAACGTGGTGAGTCCTTCTCAGCAAGGGTGATTGGAGCCACATGATCTGCCATCTCAGTGCTTCCCAGGGGAACACAGAGCTACTGGGCATGGTGGCTCACACGTGTAATCCCAGTACTTTAGGAGGCCGAGATGGGCAGATTGCGAAGTCAGGAGACTGAGACCATCCTGGATAACATGGTGAAACCCCGTCTCTACTAAAAATACAAAAAAAAATTAGCCAGGCGTGGTGGCGGGCGCCTGTAGTCCCAGCTACTCGGGAGGCTGAGGCAGAAGAATGGTGTGAACCCGGGAGGCGGAGCTTGCAGTGAGCCAAGATCACACCACTGCACTCCAGCCTGGGCAACAGAGTGAGACTTCATCTCAACAAAAAAAGAAAAGAAAAGAAAAACACAGAGCTGCACACCCCACAGAGTTCAGGCAGAAGGGGGTCTGCAGCGCTGGAAGACCCAGCAAGCCTGGCCCGTCTGGCTGCAAGTGGCAGGGGTGGGTGGAGTCACCCACTTCACCATCTGGGTGCTTTCCAGGGAAGCATGCAGCCACGACCCCGGGCAGAGTTCAGGCAGAAGCTGGGCCACTATGCTGGAAACTGGCCTTGAGCCTTGTGGAGTAACGGCAGGTGGAGCCATCTCACTGCTCCCACGCACCATGCCCGTGGCCTCTGCGGGGGCTGTGGTAACGGCACCCGACTGCTCTGGGGTCAATGCCTGCGGAGGTCCCCCTGGCTTCAGTGTTGCCTCTGCAAAAACCCCAGTTGCAGCCAGGTGCGGTGGCTCACGCTTGTAATCCCAGCACTTTGGGAGGCCGAGGCAGGTGGATCACTTGAAGTCAGGAGTTCAAGACCAGCCTGGCCAACATGGTGAAACCCCGTTTCTACTAAAAATACAAAAATTATCCAGGCATGGTGGTGGGCACCTGTAATCCCAGCTACTCGGAAGGCTGAGGCAGCAGAATTGCTTGAACCCGGGAGGCGGAGGAGCTGAGATTGCACCACTGCACTGCAGCCTGGGCGACAAAACAAGACTCTGTCTCGAAAAATAATAACAATAAAAAATAAAGATGGCAACCATAGACACTGGAGACTACTAGATGGGGGGGAAGAAAGGGGGTTGAAAAACTGCCTATTGGGTACTATGCTCAGTACCTGGGTGACAGGATCAATCGTACTCCAAACCTCAGCATCACAAATTATTTAAATTTTTCTCTTTTTTTAATTTTTTTGTTGTTGTTGTTGAGACGAAGTCTCACTCTGTTGCCCAGGCTGGAGTGCAGTGGTGTGATCTCGGCTCACTGCAAGCTCTGCCTCCCAGGTTCACGCCATTCTCCTGCCCCAATCTCCCGAGTAGCTGGGACTACACGCGCCCGCCACCACGTCCTGCTAATTTTTTGTATTTTCAGTAGACACGGGGTTTCACCGTGTTAGCCAGGATGGTCTTGATATCGTCACCTTGTGATCCACCCGCCTCGGCCTCCCAAAGTGCTGGGAATACAGGCGTGAGCTACCGCACCCGGCCTAAATTTTTTTTTAAATAAAGAATGGTAGGTTCTTCACACCCTAATGTATTTTTACTTCTCCCACAGAGAAGGAAAGGAATGGCTTCCCCATGGCAAGCCACCTCAGTCTGGGCTTTCTTTTCTTCCAGGGGACTTTCCCATGCCTTTCATATCTGCCAAATCGAGTCCTGTGATTCCCTTGGATGGATCTGTGAAAATCCAGTGCCAGGCCATTCGTGAAGCTTACCTGACCCAGCTGATGATCATAAAAAACTCCACGTACCGAGAGATAGGCAGAAGACTGAAGTTTTGGAATGAGACTGATCCTGAGTTCGTCATTGACCACATGGACGCAAACAAGGCAGGGCGCTATCAGTGCCAATATAGGATAGGGCACTACAGGTTCCGGTACAGTGACACCCTGGAGCTGGTAGTGACAGGTAAGGAAACATCCAGGGTCCACAGCCCTGGTGTGATTTTTTTCTTATTTTTAATAGAGTATTTTTCAAGAAGTTTTAGATTTACAAACAAAAAAAAATTGATGATTGCTTCAGAGAGTTCTCAGCCATCTGGCACCCCACTTCCCCCAGAGTTAACATCTTACATTAGTATGGCACATTTCTTACCATTAATGAACAAATATCGACACATTCCCAGCTACAGTCTACAGTTTATTTACATTTTCTTAGTTTTTACCTGATAGTCTTTCTCTGTTCCAGGATCCCATTCAAGATTTCACATTGCGGCTGGGAGTGGTGGCTCACGCCTGTAATCCCAACACTTAGGGAAGCCGAGGCGGGTGGATCACCCAAGGTCAGGAGTTCGAGACCAGCCTGGCCAACATGGTGAATTCCCCGTCTCTACTGAAAATGCAACAATCGCTGGGCGCGGTGGCTCACGCCTGTAATCCCAACACTTTGGGTGGCTGAGGTGGGTGGATCACCTGAGGTCAGGAGTTCGAGACCAGCCTGGCCAACACAGTGAAACCTCGTCTCTACTAAAAATGGAAAAAATTGGCCAGGCCTGGTGGCACACGCCTGTAATCCCAGCTACTTGGGAGGCTGAGGCAGGAGAATCGCTTGAACCCAGGAGGCAGAGGTTGCAGTGAGCCAAGATCACACCACTGCACTCCAGGCTGGGCGACAGGGCGAGACTCCATCTCACACACACACACACAAAAAGATTTCACATTGCATTCAGGTGTCATGTATCTTTATTTTTTTTTTTTTTTTTTTTTTTGAGATGGAGTCCCGCTGTGTTGCCCAGGCTGGAGTGCAGTGGCACAATCTCGGCTCACTGCAAGCTCCAACCTCCCGGGTTCACGCCATTCTCCTGCCTCAGCCTCCCGAGTAGCTGGGACTACAGGCGCCCGCCACCACGCCTGGCTAATTTTTTGTATTTTTAGTAGAGATAGGGTTTCACTGTGTTAGCCAGGATGGTCTCAATCTTCTGACCTCGTGATCCGCCCGCCTGGCCTCCCAAAGTGCTGGGATTACTGGCGTGAGCCACCACGCCCGGCCCCCGAAAATGCTGGGATTACAGGCATGAGCCACCGCACCTGGCCTCCCAAAGTGCTGGGATTCCAGGCGTGAGCCACCGTGCCCGGCAGGTGTCATGTATCTTTAGGTTTGTCTTGGCTGTCACAGCTTCTCAGATGTTGCTGGTTTTCCATGACCTTGTCAGTTTTGAGGGTAGTGGTCCATTATTTTCAAGGGTACTCCCACTACTGGAAATTGTCCGATGTTTTGCTCATGACTAGACTGAGTTATGGGTCATTGCAGGCAAGACCACAGAAGCAAAGTGCCATTTCATCTCCTCATAGCAAAGGTTTAAACTGTCCATGGGAACATGACTGTGGATGTTGAGCTGGCTGTTGTTGAAAGCCTGGCTGAAGTAGTAACTGTGGCCAGACACCGTGGCTCGTGCCTGTAATCCCAGCACTTTGGGAGGCTGGGCGCCGTGGCTCACGCCTGTAATCCCAGCACTTTGAGAAGCCGAGATGGGCAGATCACTTAAGCCCAGGAGACCAGCCTGGGCAACATAGTAAGACCCCATCTGTACAAAAAATCAAAAAATTAGCTGGGCATGGTGGCACCCACCTGTAGTCTCAGTTACTTGAGAGGCTGAGATGGTAGGATCACCTGAGCCTGGGAGGTCGAGGCTGCAGTGAGCCGTGATTATGCCACTGCCCTCAGCCTGGGCGACAGAGTGAGACCCTCTCTAAAATAAATAAATTCTAAAAAAGAAAAAAGAGGCTGGGCACTGTGGTTCACGCCTGTAATCCCAGCACTTTGGGAGGCTGAGGCAGGTGGATCACCTGAGGTCAGGGATTCAAGACCAGCCTGACCAACATGGAGAAACCTCATCTTTACTAAAAATACAAAAATTAGCTGGGCGTGGTGGCGGGTGCCTGTAATCCCAGCTACTCGGGAGGCTGAGGCAGGAGACTCACTTGAACCTCGGAGGTGGAGGTTGCAGTGAGCTGAGATCGTGCCACTGCACTGCAGCCTCAGTGACAGAGTGAGACTCCATCTCAAAAAACAATAATAGGCTGGGCACAGTTGCTCATGCCTGTAATCCCAGCACTTTGGGAGGCCAAGGTGGGCAAATCACCTGAGGTCAGGAGTTCGAGACCAGCCTGACCAACATGGAGAGACCCCGTCTCTACTAAAAATACAAAAATTAGCTGGGCGTGGTGGTACGCACCTGTAATCCCAGTTTCTCGGGAGGCTGAGGCAGGAGAATTGCTTGAACCCGGGAGACGGAGGTTGCAGTGAGCTGAGATCACGCCACTGCACTCCAGCTTGGGCAATAAGAGCGAAACTCCATCTCAAAAAAATATATAATAATAACAATAATAAGAAGAAGAAAAGAATAAAGGAGAAAAGGTCTTTCTAATAGCTCACTCTTTTCTCTCTTAGGCTTGTATGGCAAACCCTTCCTCTCTGCAGATCGGGGTCTGGTGTTGATGCCAGGAGAGAATATTTCCCTCACGTGCAGCTCAGCACACATCCCATTTGATAGATTTTCACTGGCCAAGGAGGGAGAACTTTCTCTGCCACAGCACCAAAGTGGGGAACACCCGGCCAACTTCTCTTTGGGTCCTGTGGACCTCAATGTCTCAGGGATCTACAGGTGCTACGGTTGGTACAACAGGAGCCCCTACCTGTGGTCCTTCCCCAGTAATGCCTTGGAGCTTGTGGTCACAGGTAGGTACCGCCCAGTCCAGCCCTGTGTCTGGGTTGGCTGTCCAGGGCCTTGCCACCGGGCAGGAATATGAAGACGTGCACTGAGAGTGAAGTGAAGAGAGGCAAAGGCTCTCACTCCAGGACAGTGGAGAGAGAAAGGCTTCCCCACCACACTTTCCGCTTTCACTTCCTCGCTAGAGTTCTCCAGACAGGGTTCATTGAAAACTTAGTCTGTGGAGAACAGAAGGGCTAACTCAGTTTGTTTCATTTTATTTATTTCATTTTATTTTCCGGGATAGAGTCTTGCTCTTTCGCCAAGGCTGGAGTGCAGTGGCACGATCTCGACTCACTGCAACCTTCGCCTCCCAGGTTCAAGCAATTCTCCTGCCTCAGCCTCCTGAGTAGCTGGGACCACACAGACAGGGTTTCACCATGTTGGCCAGGCTGGTCTCGAACTCCCGACCTCAGGTGATCCACCTGCCTCGGCCTCCCAAAGTGCTGGGATTACAGGCGTGAGCCACCGCGCCTGGCCAGGCTGCACACATTCTTATTAGGATTCCACCTTGTTCTGGTGTTGTAGAGATGTGATTAGGTATTTAGTGAATTCACCAAGTGAGGAGAGAATGAAAAGAAAACACAACCTGCCTGGCCGGGCGTGGTGGCGTGAGCCTGTCGTCCCAGCTACTCAGGAGGCTGAGGCAGGAGAATCACTTGAACCCAGGAGGCAGCTGTTGCAGTGAGCCAAGATCACGCCATTGCACTCCAGCCTGGGTGACAGAACGAGACTCCACCTCAAGAAAAAAAAAAAAAACATGGTTGGGCACGATGGCTCACGCCTGTAATCTGAGCACATTGGGAGGCTGAGGCAGGTGGATCACCTGAGGTCGGGAGTTCGAGACCAGCCTGGCCAACATAGTGAAACCCCATCTCCACTAAAAATACAAAAATTAACCAGGCGTGGTGGTGGTGGGCGCCTGTAATCCCAGCTACTTGGGAGGCTGAGGCAGGAGAATCACTTGACCAGGGAGGCGGAGGTTGCAGTGAGCCGAGATCACGCCACTGCACTCCAGCCTGGGCAACAGAGTGAGACTCCATCTCAAAAAAAAAAAAAAAAAAAAACACACACAACCTGCCCATAATCACCTCCTTCCCAGTTTATAGCACTTCCCTGGGAAGCACAGTTCCTTGCCCGTGAACACAGTCTTGCTGACTGATCAGTGTGGTGCTGGCGAAGCATGAGCTCATTGAGGGGATGCTTGAGGGAGTCCCATTTTGGCAAGCGAAAAGGAAAATGAGCTCCCGTTTCAGGGCTCTGGGGTTGGGATGGAATGGAACACAACCACCAACCATTCATCTCCTTGAATTGTGTCTCCAGACTCCATCCACCAAGATTACACGACGCAGAACTTGATCCGCATGGCCGTGGCAGGACTGGTCCTCGTGGCTCTCTTGGCCATACTGGTTGAAAATTGGCACAGCCATACGGCACTGAACAAGGAAGCCTCGGCAGATGTGGCTGAACCGAGCTGGAGCCAACAGATGTGTCAGCCAGGATTGACCTTTGCACGAACACCAAGTGTCTGCAAGTAAACACCTGGAGGTGAAGGCAGAGAGGAGCCAGGACTGTGGAGTCCGACAAAGCTACTTGAAGGACACAAGAGAGAAAAGCTCACTAAGAAGCTTGAATCTACTTTTTTTTTTTTTTGAGACAGAGTCTGGCTCTGTCACCCAGGCTGGAGTGCAGTGGAGCAATCTCGGCTCATTGAACCTCTTGGGTTCAAGTGATTCTTGTGCCTCAGCCTCCCAAGTAGCTGGAATTACAGGCACATACCACTGCACCCAGCTAATTTTTGTATTTTTAGTAGAGATGGGGTTTCACTGTGTTGGCCAGGCTGGTCTCGAACTCCTGACCTCAGGTGATCCACCCACCTTGGCCTCCCAAAGTGCTGAGATTATAGGCATGAGCCACCACGCCTGGCCAGATGCATGTTCAAACCAATCAAATGGTGTTTTCTTATGCAGGACTGATCGATTTGCACCCACCTTTCTGCACATAAGTTATGGTTTTCCATCTTATCTGTCTTCTGATTTTTTATATCCTGTTTAATTTCTTCCTTCATTGTTCTTCTCTTTTTTTATTTATTTTATTTATTTTTATTTTTATTTTTATTTGAGACAGAGTCTCACTCTGTTGCCCAGGCTGGAGTGCAGTGGCACGATCTCGGCTCACTGCAACCTCTGCCTCCTGGGTTCAAGTGATTCTCCTGCCTCGGCCTCCCAAGTAGCTGGGATTGCAGGCTCCCACCATCACGCCCAGCTACTTTTACAGTATTTTTAGTAGAGACGGGGTTTCATCACATTGGCCAAGCTGGTCTCAAACTTCTGACCTCGTGATCTGCCCGCCTCGGCCTCCCAAAGTGCTGGGATTACAGATGTGAGCCACTGCGCCCAGCCTTCTTTTTATATTTTTAAATGTGTCTTCCCCAAATATAAATGGTTGGTAAGCATGCCAAATATATTCAATAACCCCCCTCCTTTATTTTTTTTTGTTGAAGTGAGGCTCTCCCTATGTTGCCTAAGCTGGTCTTGAACTCCTGGTCTCAAGCAATCCTCCTACCTCAGCCTCCTGCTGTGTTCATCTACAAATTGATAAGAGTGAAAGTCATAATCCTACAGGAGGATTACCCTATTTATTTCACAAACCCTATTTCTACCGGATTTTCATACAAGGAATACAGGCATGTGTTTCACCTCATTAATTTATTTTTTCACTTAGTTTTGATGATATTCACATATATTATCAAGTGTGCAAACATTAAATTCTTGTGTACAAAACTCAAATGGTCTTCCAAATAATTCCCCATTCTTTTTTCTTATAAACTTTCACAGCTTTACCCTTGACAGACTTTACTCAAGGAAATCTAAGTTGGTCATATGTGGCTCTTTCACTGATTGCTATTTACTTCATTGTCCAGTAGCTTATGTATGAAAATATAATTATAAAATGTAAGGGTCCTACTTCCAGTGAAACTGAAGGGACTTAGGCCCACTTTTATCCTTTACTGAGAGCTTATCTCTACTTGATAAAATTTCTACTGTATTCTTGGCTTAACTCAGGTCCTGTGATTAAAAAAAAAATGCAAAGTATTTCTAACTTTCTTTATTGACTGCTTTTCACACTTTATACAAGTTCTGGCCCATATCTTCAGTTTGTTCTGATTTTTTTCACCAGGTGTGGTGGCAGGTGCCTGTAGTCCCAGCTACTCCAGGGGCTGAGGCAGGAGAATGGCGTGAACCTGGGAGGCGGGGCTTGCAATGAGCTGAGATCACGCCACTACACTCCAGCCTGGGCCACAGAGCGAGACTCCGTCTCAAAAGTAAACAAACAAATAAATAATAAATAAATAAATAAAGGGAAAGTGCCACAATTTTGGATGAAGGGGGTTGAGGGACTTTACGTCAGGTCCAGGACTTGGATTACAGAGACACAATGGGGCTAGATTCCCAGAGATGGATAAGATTAAACTCATATAAGTCGTTTTGCTGACAGAAGGACCTTGTTTGGAAAAAGCGTTTTCAGAATAATAAAGTTCCTGAGCTCTTCAGAAAAGTATTTTATTGTCCTGTAACCACAGTAACAAGTAGCCACCAAAACTGATTTTTAACCCATCATCAATGACAACTCATCTCTGTGAAGATGCTCTTTTTTTTTTTTTTTTTTTTTGAGACGGGGTCTTGCTCTGTCACCCAGGCTGGGGAGCAGTGACGTGACCTCGGCTCCCTGCAACCTCTCTTTCCCGGGTTCAGCAATTCTCCTGCCTCAGCCTCCCCAGTAGCTGGGATTATAGGCACCTGCCACCACACGCAGATAATTTTTGTATTTTTAGTACAGACGGGTTTCGCCATGTTGGCCAAGCTGGTCACAAACTTCTGACCTCAGGGTGATCTGCCTGCCTCAGCCTCTCAAAGTGCTGGGATTACAGGAGTGAGCCACAAAGCCCGGCCACTCCATACGTTTTATATTGTTATGTTACCATCAGTCAGGCAGCTCCTTGCTTCTAAAAGTCATCCAATCAGACTCATTTCAGTAAACACCCAAGCATGAGTGACAACCAATCAAAGTAATATCTTCCCAATGACCACACTTTTCCAGATGACGTCAAGCCACAGAAGGCCCTGAAAATCCAACAATCTCTGAAGTATACATTTCCCAGGCTGAGCGCAGTGGCTCACACCTGAAATCCCAGCACTTTGGGAGGCTAAGGCAGGCAGATCACGAGGCCAGGAGTTCGAGACCAGCCTGGCCAACATGGCAAAACCCCGTCTCTACTAAAAATACAAAAATTAGCCAGGTGTGGTGGCACGCACCTGCATTACCAGCTACTGAGGAGGCTGAGGCAGGAGAATGGCTTGAACCCAGGAGGCGGAGGTTGCAGTGAGCCAAGATCGTACCACCGCACTCCAGCCTTGGTGACAGAGCAAGACTCCATCTCAACAACAACAACAAAAATGGTTGAAATAAAACTTCTATGTGTTGAACGATTCCTCTTTTAGGCATAGAGTTTCAGTTTTACAAGATGAAAATATTCTGGAGATCTGTTTCAAAACACCGTGAATACATTTAACACTGCTATACTGTACACTTACAATGGCTAAGATGGTAAATTGTATGTTATGTTTTTACTACAATTTTTTTTTTTTTTTTTCTGAGACAGAGTCTCACTCTTGTTGCCCAGGCTGGAGTGCAATGGTGCGGTCTCGGCTCACCGCAACCTCCGCCTCCTGGGCTCAAGCCATTCTCCTGCCTCAGCCTCCAGAGCAGCTGGGATTACAGGCATGCGCCACCACGCCTGGCTAATTTTATATTTTTAGAAGAGACGGGGTTTCTCCATGTTGGTCAGGCTGGTCTCGAACTCTGGACCTCAGGTGATCCACCCGCCTTGGCCTCCCAAAGTGCTGGGATCACAGGCGTGAGCCACCACGCCTGGCCTACAATTTTTTTTTAACTTTTTTTTCTGAGATGGAGTCTCGCTCTTGTCACCCAAGTTGGAGTGCAGTAGTGTGATCTCGGCTCACTGCAACCTCTGCCTCCCTGGTTCAAGGGATTCTCCTGCCTCAACCTCCCAAGTGTGGGAGATCAGTCAGAGTAGCAGAAGAAATTATAGGAATAGGAAGCAGCAAACCTTCTTGGAAGGCCAGGGAGGTTGGCATAGCTTCAGATAGTTTGGCTGAAAGCAGCCAGATTCTCTTTTCAGGAGCCAAACAGCTTAGGGCGCAGATACAAAGGAATGCGGAGTATTTTATCTAAATAGCTTGCTTAGTCATATGGTCCTAAAATCAACCTTTGATCATTCTCGGGCAAGATGGCCCTCTCCAGGGAGGTGGCGGGGGGCGGTGACCAGGTTAATTACCCACAGGTGTGTTGACTCAAAGCCTTTGTTAATTAAATCTGTGCTAAATAAATGCAAGCGTTGCCAGCTTAGAGGGGCTGCACTCTCTTTGGCTCCTAGTGCCGGCAGCCCCCTGGCCTGCTCTTTCACTGAATATTGGTGTCTGAGGACGTGTCTCATCTGTCGTACAGCTGGGATCTGCAGAACAGATCCCCCCCGCACCCAAGAAGCTGGGATTACAGGCACCCGCCGCCATGCCCAGCTCATTTTTGTATTTTTAGTAGAGACAGGGTTTCACCATGTTGGTCAGGCCGGTCTCGAACTCCCGGCCTCAGGTGATCTGCCCGCCTCAGCCTCCCAAAAGTGCTTGGATTACAGGCATGAGCCACTGCGCCTGGCCTTAGAAAACTTCTTTTTCTTTTTTTTTTTTTTTTTTTTTTGAGACAGAGTTTCACTCTGTCGCTACGCTGGTGTGATCTGGGCTCACTGCAATCTCCGCCTCCCAGGTTCAAGTGATTCCCCTGCCTCAGCCTCCCGAGTAGCTGGAACTACAGGTGCGCACCGCCACGCCCGGCTAATTTCTTGTATTTTCGTGGAGACGGGGTTTCACCATGTTGGCTAGGCTGGTCTGTTTCATGCGCGTCCGTGTGAAGAGACCACCAAACAGGCTCTGTGTGAGCAACAAGGCTGTTTATTTCACCTGGGTGCAGGCAGGCTGAGTCCGACAAGAGAGTCAGCGAAGGGGGATAGGGGTGGGGCCGTTTTATAGGATTTGGGTAGGTAAAGGAAAATTACAGTCAAAGGGGGGTTGTTCTTTGGTGGGCAGGAGTGGGGGGTCACAAGGTGCTCAGTAGGGGAGCTTTTGAGTCAGGATGAACCAGAAGAAGGAATTTCACAAGATAATGTCATCAGTTAAGGCAGGAACAGGCCATTTTCATTTCTTTCGTGGTGGAATGTCATCAGTTAAGGCAGGAACCGGCCATCTGGATGTGTACGTGCAGGTCACAGGGGATATGATGGCTTAGCTTGGGCTCAGAGGCCTGACATTCCTGTCTTCTTATATTAATAAGAAAAATAAAACGAAATAGTGGTAAAGTGTTGGGATGGCGAAAATTTTGGGGGGTGGTATGGAGAGAGAATGGGCGATGTTTCTCAGGGCTGCTTCGAGCGGGATTAGGGGCGGCGTGGGAACCTAGAGTGGGAGAGATTAAGCTGAAGGAAGATTTTGTGGTAAGGGGTGATATTGTGGGATTGTTAGAAGAAACATTTTTCATTTAGAATTACTGGTGATGGCCTGGATGCAGTTTTGTATGAATTGAAAAACTAAATGGAATAAGGAAAGGAGAAAAACAGGTATTAAAGGTCTAAGAATTGGGAGGACCTAGGACATCTAATTAGAGAGTGCCTAAGGAGGTTCAGCATAGCCTTGCCAGCAAAGATTATTTATTTACTTCAAGAGTTAAGAGTGGTGGTTTGGGGATAGCACCAGGAGATATCAGCTGTGATGGCTTGGAAAAACAGTGTAAACCAGCAGTGTAAACAAGAGCAGGGCATGTGTGAGTAGTTGAGAATGGTGAATAGGAGTATGACTAGACAGAAGATAGTAGGGATGACAAGTTTTTGGGGGCACATTCCAAGTTGGTCTGGTGTCTGGAATGAGACTGGGGCTTAATAAAAAGGAGCGTCTATACAGGAGCTCAAATGGGCTGTACCCTTTAGCATTCTGAGGACAGGCCTGAATTCTGAGAAAAGAAAGTGGTAAAAGTATTGTCCAGTCTTTTTTAAGTTGGTGGCTGAGCTTGGTGAGGTGTGTTTTTAAAAGACTATTAGTCTGTTCTACTTTTCCTGAAGACTGAGGACTGTAAGGGATATAAAGGTTTCACTGAATACCAAGAGCCTGAAAAACTGCTTGGCTGATTTGACTAATAAAGGCCGGTCTGCTATCAGACTGTATAGAGGTGGGAAGGCCAAACTGTGGAATTATGTCTGACAGAAGGGAAGAAATGACCTCGGTGGCCTTCTCAGACCCTGTGGGAAAGGCCTCTACCCATCCAGTGAAAGTGTCTACCCAGACCAAGAGGTATTTTAGTTTCCTGACTCAGGGCATGTGAGTAAAGTCAATTTGCCAGTCCTAGGCGGGGGCAAATCCCCGAGCCTGATGTGTAGGGAAGGGAGGGGACCTGAGCAATCCCTGAGGGGTAGTAGAATAGCAGATGGAACACTGAGAAGTGGTTTCCTTGAGGATAGATTTCCAGGATGGAAAGGAAATGAGAGGTTCTAAGAGATGGGCTAGCAGCTTGTAACCTACATGGAAGAGGCTATGAAATATCGACCGAATAGAATGGGCCTGTGAGGCTGGAAGGAGGTATTTTCCTTGGTCTAAGAACCATTTGCCTTGTGTGGGAAGAGATTGATGGGTGGAAGTTTCAGTGGGGGAGTAGGTGGGAGTGACTGATGAGAAGGAGAAAAACTGGCTGTGGGGGACAGAAATTGGCATGCTAGCTGCTTGTCTAGCTACCTTATCAGCATAAGCATAGATGTGAGAGACAGAAGTTGGAAAGCTAGCTGCTTGTCTAGCCACCTTGTCAGCATAGGCATTGTCTAGAGCAATGGGATCTGATGACTTTTGATGGCCTTTGCAGTGAATGACTCCAGCTTCCTCTGGGAGTAAAGCGGCCTTGAGCAGAGTTTTTATTAAGGAGGCATTAAAGATGGAGGACCCTTGTGTAGTGAGGAAACCTCTTTCAGCCCATATGACCGCATGGTGGGGCAGAATATGAAAGGCATATTTAGAGTCAGTATAAATATTGATGCATAGTCCTTTTGCATCAGTGAGGGCTTGAGTTAAGGCAACTAATTCGGCTTGCTGAGAGGTAGTGGAGGGGGCAGAGCGGTAGCCTCAATGATAGATGTGGAAGATACTATAGCATAGCCTGCCTTTGCTGGTGAGTGGCGATTAGGCCTGGTGGAACTGCCATCAATAAACTAAATGTGATTAGGGTGAGGAATAGGAAAGAAGGAAATGTGGGGAAATGGGGTGAATGTCAGGTGGATCAGAGAGATACAGTCATGGGGGTCAGGTGTGGTATCCGGAATAATGTGGGAGGCCGGATTGAAGTATGGGCCAGTAACAATGGTAATTGTGGGAGACTCAACAAAGAGTGAGTACAGCTGAAGGAGCCGGGGAGCAGAAAGTATATGCGTCAGGTGTGAGGAAGAAAATAGATTTTTGGAAGTTATGAGAACTGTAGAGAGTGAGTTGAGCATAGTTTGTGATTTTGAGGGCCTCTAAAACTATTAAAGCAGCGGCAGCCGCTGCTCACAGACGTGAGGGCTAGGCTAAAACAGTAAGATCAAGTTGTTTGGACAGAAAGGCTACAGGGTGCGGTCCTGGCTCTTGTGTAAGAGTTCTGACCACGCTAACCATGCCTAGGAAGGAAAGGAGTTGTTGTTTTGTAGAAGGTGCTGGGGTTTGAGAGATCACTAGGACACGATTGGCAGGGAGAGCACGTGTGTTTTTATGAGAATTATGCCGAGATAGGTAACAGAGGAGGAAGAAATTTGGGCTTGACTGAAGTAATGGGGGCTGTCTGTGAAGCCTTGCAGCAGTACAGCCTAGGTAATTTGCTGAGCTTGATCGGTGTCAGGGTCAGTCCAAGTGAAAGCGAAGAGAGGCTGGGATGAAGGGTGCAAAGGAACAGTAAAGAAAGCATGTTTGAGATCCAGAACAGAATAATGGGTTGTAGAGGCAGGTATTGAGGATAGGAGAGTATATGGGTTTGGCACTACGGGGTGGATAGGCAAAACAATTTGGTTGATAAGGTGCAGATCCTGAACTAATGTGTAAGCCTTGTCTGGTTTTAGGACAGGTAAAATGGGAGAATTGTAAGGGGAGTTTATAGGCTTTAAAAGGCCATGCTGTAGCAGGCTTTAATCCTTTTAAAGCATGCTGTGGGATGGGATATTGGCATTGAGCGGGGTAAGGTTGATTAGGTTTTAATGAGATGGTAAGGGGTGCATGATTGGTCACCAAGGAGGGAGTAGAGGTATCCTATACTTGTGGGTTAAGGTGGGGGGATACAAGAGGAGGACACAAAGGAGGCTTTGGATTGGGAAGAAGGGCAGCAATGAGATATAGCTGTAGTCCAGGAATAGTCAGGGAAGCAGATAATTTAGTTAAAGTGTCTCAGCCTAATAAGGGAACTGGGCAGGTGGGGATAACTAAAAAGGAGTGCTTGAAAGAGTATTGTCTAAGTTGGCACCAGAGTTGGGGAGTTTTAAGAGGTTTAGAAGCCTAGCTGTCAATACCTACAACAGTTATGGAGGCAAGAGAAACAGGCCCTTGAAAAGAAGGTAATGTGGAGTGGGTAGCCTCCATATTGATTAAGAAGGGGACGGGCTTACCTTCCACTGTGAGAGTTACCTAGACTGTCTGTGATGGTCCTGTAGGCTTCCGAGGCGATCGGGATCGGGCAGTGTCAGTCTTCAGCTGCTAAGCCGAGAAGATCTGGGAAGGAGTCAGAGAGCCTTGGGCCAGAGTTCTAGCTGCTCTGGGAGTGGCTGCCAGGTGAGTTGAACAGTCCGATTTTCAGTGGGGTCCCGCACAGATGGGATGCGGCTTAGGAGGAATCCCAGGCTGTGGACATTCCTTGGCCCAGTGGCCAGATTTCCAGTACTTGTAGCAAGCTCCTGGGGGAAGAGGTTCTGGAGGAACCCCTGGCAGCTGCGGTTCAGGCGTTTGGAGTTCTCGTGTGCTGGAGATGTGGCTGGGGTTTGTCTCATCTGGATACTGGAGTGGAGGCAAGGAATTGCAACTCAGAAATATGTTGCTATTTGGCTGCCTCTACTCTATTACTGTACACCTTGAAGGCGAGGTTAATTAAGTCTTGTTGTGGGGTTTGAGGGACAGAATTTAATTTTTGGAGCTTTATTTAATGTTGGGAGCAGATTTGGTAATAAAATGTATATTGAGAATAAGACGGCCTTTTGACTTAGGGTCTAGGGCTGTAAAGCGTCTCAGGGTTGCTGCCAAATGAGCCATGAACTGGGCTGTGTTTTTAAATTTGATGAAAAAGAGCCTAAACACTATCTGATTTGGGAGAGGTCAGATAAAGAAAAAGGAGCATTAACCTTGACTATGCCTTTAGCTTCAGCCACCTTTTTAAGAGGAAATTGCTGGGCAGTTGGGGGAGGGCTAGTCATGGAATGGAACTGTAAGCTGGACCGGGTGTGAGGAGGGGAGGTGATAAAAGGATTATAGGGTGGAGGAGCGGAGGCTGAGGAAGAATTGGGACCCAGCTCGGCCTGGCGAGGAGGGGAGATGTCAGATGGGTCTGTAGAAAAGGAAGATTAGAAAGACTCAGCGATGCTTGGGGTTGGGACTGACGGGACAGGCGGGAGGGAAAGAAGGAAGATTTGGGACGAGTTGCACTGGGCATAGAGACTAGGGAGGGACCGATGTGTAAAAGAATGCCTGGATGTCAGGCACCTCAGACCGTTTGCCCATTTTACAACAAGAATTATTTAGATCTTGTAGGATGGAAAAATTGAAAGTGCCGTTTTCTGGCTATTTGGAACCACTGTCAAGTTTGTATTGGGGTCAAGCAGCATTGCAGAAGAAAATAAGGCATTTAGGTTTTAGGTCAGGTGTGAGTTGAAGAGGTTTTAGGTTTTTAAGAACACAGGCTAAGGGAGAAGAAGGAGGAATGGAGGGTGGAAGGTTGCCCATACTGAAGGAGGCAAGCACAGAGAAAAGAGAGAGTAGAGACATGGAGGGAAGGGGTTCAGGGGTTCTTACCTTCCAGAAAAGCGGGAAAGGGGTCAGGGCACAGAAGTAAGGGATTGGGGTGCAGAGACAAGAGGTCGGGGTGTGGAAATAAGGGATCGGGGTGCAGAGATAAGACGTCAGGGCACAGAAATAAGGGATCGGGGGATTCTTGCCCCCTAGAAAAGCGGTACTTGCCACTAAGGGTGAAGGAGAAGGGGTTGGGGGGTTCTTGCCCCCCCAGAAAAGCAGAGAAGGGGTAGAGACACAGAGAAGGAGTTGGGGGTTCTTGCCCCCCCAGAAAAGCAGTACTTGCCACTAAGGGTGAAGGACCAAGGCAGGCATCCCCATGTGGTCAGACACCTCTGAAACGTGGGTGAATAATCAGAGAGGTGTCCCCGCGTGATTAAACACCAAGGGAAGGCTGCCTTCCCGAGTCCATGACCGGCGCTGGAGTTTTGGGTCCACGAATAAAGCGCGTCTCCTGTCTCTACCAGAAAAGGAAAGGAACTGAAATTAAGAGAAGGGAGAGATTGAAGAGTGGAAAGGAGAAAGTGGTTGAGGGATAGTGAGAGAGGTTGGAGAAGAGAGTAAAAAGAGGCTGCTTACTGGATTTAAAATTGGTGAGATGTTCCTTGGGCTGGTTGGTCTGAGGACGAGAGGTCGTAGGTGGATCTTTCTCATGGAGCAAAGAGCAGGAGGACAGGGGATTGATCTCCTAAGGAAGATCCCCTGATTCGAGTTATGGCACCAAATTTCACTCACGTCCGTGTGAAGAGACCACCAAACAGGATTTGTGTGAGCAACAAGGCTGTTTATTTCACCTGGGTGCAGGCGGGCTGAGTCCAGAAAGAGAGTCAGCAAAGGGAGATAGGAGTGCGGCCGTTTTATAGGATTTGGGTAGGTAAAGGAAAATTACAGTCAAAAGGGGGTTGTTCTCTGGCGGGCAGGAGTGGGGTTCACAAGGTGCTCAGTAGGGGAGCTTTTGAGCCGGGATGAGCCAGGAGAAGGAATTTCATAAGATAATGTCATCACTTAAGGCAAGAACAGGCCATTTTCATTTCTTTCGTGGTGGAATGTCATCAGTTAAGGCAGGAACCGGCCATCTGGATGTGTACATACAGGCCACAGGGGGATATGATGGCTTAGCTTGGGCTCAGAGGCCTGACAGTCTGGATCACCTGACCTGGTGATCCGCACACCTCGGCCTCCCAAAGTGCTGGGATTACAGGCATGACCCACTGCACCTGGCCTTAGAAAACTTCTTAAATATTAAAATGTATGTTATGTGTATTTTGCCACAATTTTTGAAAAGTACCTTCTGGTGTTTAGAGACAGAAGATGAGTGGTTGCCTAGGGCCGGGAGAGTGAGGGGATCGTGGTGATGGGCAGCTGGTCGGCATGGGGTTCTGAAGGGCAGTGATGACAACATTCTAAAATTAGACTGTGTTGACGGTTGCACCAACTCCGTGAATACCACAAAATTTAAACCATTGAATTATGCACTTTTAATGGGTAATTGTATGGCATGTAAATTATATCTCAATAAAGTTATATTTTTAAATACCAAAAAAAGGCCGGGTGCGGTGGCTCACGCCTGTAATCCCAGCACTTTGGGAGGCCGAGAAGGGCGGATCACGAGGTCAGGAGATGGAGACCATCCTGGCTAACATGGTGAAACCCCATCTCTACTTTGAAAAAAAAAAAAAAAGATTACCCGGACGTGGTGGTGGGCACCTGTAGTCCTAGCTACTCAGGAGGCTGAGGCAGGAGAATGGCATAAACTCGGGAGGCAGAGCTTGCAGTGAGTCGAGATTGCGCCACTCAGGAGGCTGAGGCAAGAGAATGGCATAAACCCCGGAGGCAGAGCTTGCAGAGAGCCGAGATTGCGCCACTGCACTCCAGCATGGGTGACAGAGCGAGAGTCCATCTCAAAAAAAAAAAAAAAAAAAAAAAAGATTAGTAATATCCTCTGTGTCACTTACCACTTAAGTGATTGAATCACGACTTGAAATTCATCATCTCAAACATGGCTTAGAGTCTGTAGAGGGGGGACAGTCCCAGGAATGCTGGTGTGGGCTTAAGGCTGAATTAAATAGATCCAGATGGCTCACACCTGTAATCCCAATACCTTGGGAGGCCGAGGCAGGTGGGAGGCTGAGGCAGGCGGATCACTGGAGCTCCTGGAGCGAAGAAAGGATGCTAGTGGAAAAACTGGTGAAATCAGAATAAAGTCTATAGTTTTATTTTTTAAAGGAGGCTGGGCGTGGTGGCTCATGCCTCTAATCCCAGCACTTTGGGAGGCTGAGGCAGGTGGATCAGTTGAGTTCAGGAGTTCAAAACCAGCCTGGCCAACTTGACGAAACCCCATCTCTACTAGAAATACAAAAATTAGCTGGGCGTGGTTGTGGGTGCCTCTAATCCCAGCTACTCAGGAAGCTGAGGCAAGAGAATTGCTTGAACCCAGGAGGCGGAGGTTGCAGTGAGCTGAGATCACACCATTGCACTCCAGCCTGGGCTACAGAGCAAGATTCCATCTCCAAATAAGAGAGACATGACAATTAAATAAATTGTGTAATCTTGGATTAAATCCTAAACCAAATATATGTCACTGGTAAAACAAGTGGTGAAATTTGAATAAAGTGGATAGATCAGACAATAGTGTCATATCAGTGCTATTTCTTGACCTTGAACATTAATAACAGAATGTCCTTGGTTTTGGGAAATATAACCTGAAGTGATTAGAGGTTTAGGGCATCATATGCAAATTAGACACACTTTCTTCGGGGAGAGAGGGAGAGGGAGAGAGGCTGAATGATGAAGCAAATGTGGTAAAATGCTAACTTTGGGGAAATCTGGATGAAGAAATTACAGATTTTTTTTTTTTTTATAGACAGGGTAACACTCTGTCACCCAGGCTAGAGTGCAGTGGCACGATCATGGCTCACTGCAGCTTCTACCTCCCTGGGCTCAGATGACCCTCTCACCTCAGCCTCCCAAGTAGCTGGGACTATAGGCGCACAGCACCACACCTGGCTAATTTTTGCATTTTTTTTTCCCCCAGGCTCGTCTCAAGCAATCCACCCACCTCGGCCTCCCAAAGTGCTGGGATTACAGGTGTGAGCCACTGCACCTGGCCAGAAATTCTTTAAACTATTTTTGCAAGTCTGGAATTATGTCAAAATTAAAAGCTCAAAATAATAAAAGACAATATTCTTATATTTCTTTGGTGAAGGTAACTATGTTATGGCTGAGAGGGTGGCTGAGGTCTGAGGATCCAGCCTACATAAGTCTCCTCCATAGAGGGCATCCAAGCGCTCCGTAGGGGGAAGGATAAAGAAAACACCCAGAGTTATGACAGCTGTGTAAGGGGAAACGCCAGCACCGAGTACTGAATCTTCAGTAAATAAGAAGGAGGCGGGCTGGGTGTGGTGGCTCACGCCTGTAATCCCAGCACTTTGGGAGGCTAAAGTGGGCTGATCACTTGAGGTCAAGAGTTCGAGACTAGCCTGGCCAACATGGGGAAACCCTGTCTCTACTAAAAATACAAAAATTAGTCGAGTGTGGTGGCACACGCCTGTAATCCCAGCTACTTGGGAGGCTAGAACAGGAGAATTGCTTGAACCCAGGAGGTGAAGGTTGCAGTGAGCTGAGATTGCACCACTGCACCCCAGCTTGAGGGACAGAGTGAGATTCCGTCTTAAAGAGAAAAAAAAAAGAATTAGCACATTTGTTTGCCTCAAGAAGATACAACTAGTCTTGTACAGTAGTCACATGTATCCACCAGGATATATTCCAAGGCCCCAGTGGATGCTGAAAACTACATAGTACCTTACATGTATATATATATGTATATACATATATACACATATACGTATATGTATACATACATGTATATATACATGTATGTATATACATATATGCATATATACATACATGTATATATACATGTATGTATATACATATATGTATATGTATGTATACACGCATACATGTATGTATACACGCATACATGTATGTATATACATATATGTATGTATACACGGATACATGTATGTATATACATATATGTATGTATACACGCATACATGTGTGTATACATATATATGCATGTATGCATGTGTGTATATATACATATATGTGTATATATACGCATATACATGTATGTGTATATATGCATGTGTATATATACATGTACGGTACTATGCAGTATATATACACATATATGTATATATGTATACATATATGTATAAATGTATATATGTGTATATATATAAAAGGTATATATGTATATATGTGTGTATATATAAAATGCATGAATTTCTTTTTTCTTACTGTAGATCTTAACAACTTCTGCATAGAATTTTTTTTTATTAAGTGGAGAGTTAGTTACTTACTTAAAAGAAATGTTTCTTGGCTGGGTGTGGTGGCTCACACCTGTAATCCCAGCACTTTGAGAGGCCGAGGCAGGAAGATTCACTTGAGGTGAGGAGTTGGAGACCATCCTGGCCAACGTGGTAAAAACCGGTCTCTACTAAAAGTACAAAAATGAGCTGGGCGTGGTGTTGGGTGTCTGTAGTCCCAGCTACTCAGGTGGCTGAGGCAGGAGAATTGCTTGAACCCACAAGGCAGAGGTTGCAGTGAGCTGAGATCACACCACTGCACCACAGCCTGGGCAACAGAGCAAGACTCTGTCTCAAAAAAAAAAAAAAAAAAGAAAGAAAAAGAAAAAGAAAAGAAATGTTTCTTTTCTTATTAAGTTCTTTAAATGAAAAGCTTTTCTTTTCACTTTTATTTTATTGAAACATTATAACACTATCTTTGAAGAAGATAGTGTTATCATTCCATTCTGATGAAACCAATTAACTTATCCAAGCATATGTATACTGTACACAGAGAAGCCAACGTCAAAACCCCTATTTTTATCTTTTTAGATTCAGCAGATACATGTGCAGGTTTTTTATGAGTATATTGCATGATGCTGAGGCTTGCATTAATGATCTAGTCACCAAATAGGTAGATTTTCAAGCCTTGCTCCCCTCCTTACCCAATGTTTAGCGCTCTCACTTATAAGTGAGAACATGTGGTATTTGGTTTTCTTTTCTTTTTTTTTTTTTTTTTTGAGATGGAGTTTCACTCTTGTTGCCCAGGCTGGAGTACAATGGCACCATCTCGGCTCACTGCAACCTTCACCTTCCAGGTTCAAGCAATTCTCCTGCCTCAGCCTCCCGAGTAGTTGGGACTACAGGCATGTGCCACCACACCCGGCTAATTTTGAATTTTTAGTAGAGACAGGGTTTCTGCATGTTGGTCAGGCTGGTCTCGAACTCCCGACCTAAGGTGATCCACCTGCCTCAGCCTCCCAAAGTGCTGGGATGACAGGCCTGAGCCACCGTGTCTGGCCAGTATTTGGTTTTCTGTTTCTGTGTTAACTCGCTTAGGATAATGGCCTCTAGCTGCATCCATGTTGCTGCAAAGGACATAATCTTGTGATTTTTCAAGGCTGTATAGCGTTCTGTGGTGTATACATATCACATTGTCTTTATCCAGTCCACCTCTGATGGGACCTGGGTGGATTCCATGTCTTCACTATTGTGAATCCTGCTGCAATGAACATACAAGTGCATGTGTCTTTTTGGTAGAATGATTTATTTTCCTTTGGCTATATACCCAGCGATGGGATTGCTGGGCTGAATGGTAACTCTGTTTGTAGTTCTCTGAAATATCTCCAAACCAAACTGCTTTCCACAGTGGCTGAACTAATTTACACCCACCAACAGTGTATAAGTGTCCCCTTTGCTCCACAATCTCACCAGCATCTGTTAATTTCTGGCTTTTCAGTAATGGCCATTCTGACTGGTGTGAGATGGTATTGTTGAGGGATAATTTAGGAATCAGAGAGACCGAGGGGTTGAGGAGGATTTATTATTATTATTATTATTTAGGTGCACCGGCCCCAGTCAGATTAACATCCAAAAAGACTGAGGCTCGAACAGAGAGTCCGGTTACCTTTTAAGCATTTTGTGGGGTTGGGGGAGATCTGTGCAGGGGGAAGCATATTACAGAAGCAAGAAACAAAGGCAGTTATTCAATTGAGACATGCATCACATTATTCCTTACTTTTCAAGAAAAATATGTTTTACGACTTGAGGTTATCCTGTCTAGTGACCTTGCAGCCGCACGGCAAGAGAAACAGGGTCTTCACAATGCCTGGGAAAGGGAGAGATAAGGCTCACTAGCCACAGACAGAAAAACAGGCAGTTCATGTTTAAAGGACTCCACCTCTTTCTCTTCCTCGGGGGGAACTGGGTTTTCTTAAATACAACTGAGTTTTTGTTTACACATTCTGTAATTTCTTTTAATTCCTGTTCCAGTATCTCACTGTGAAACTCCCTATGTTTTTATACGATTCTCAGGGGGTTTCCTCTGGGCATGATTGGGCACAACTTCCCACAGTCAGCTCTGGGTACGACCTCCACATTGCAGAATTGAGAAGTTGACCCAGAAATGCATTTTGGGCTGAGCAGACAATTGTCAGAGTTGCTGGCTAGACCACAGATGTGTCAGAGGGACCACGGCCTTTCTGTAAGCTCATGGTCAGAGGCGGAGGGGAGTTGTGAACGTTCTGATGAAAGCAGTCAACGTGAAAGCGCTCTGGTGATGGGCGCTGGTGCTCACCCACCACTTCCTGTGTATCTATCTCCCTGGCCCGCCCGGCTCAGTCCCCACTGCTCAGCACTAGGCCGGCAGAATCTGAGCGATGTCTTCCACACTCCCTGCCCTGCTCTGCGTCGGTGAGTTCTGGCGTGGAAGGGGAATGGGATCACGGTGTGCCTGGGAGGCAACAGGTCTCATTACTCCCGTCTTCCAGGGCTGTGTCTGAGTCAGAGGATCAGCGCCCAGCAGCGTGAGTCCTTCCTTCAAAGCCCAGGGTCACTCTTCCGGATTCAGGCCAAGCTCCTTCCACCCAAGCACGGCTGGGGTGAGGGGACAGGGTGCTGGCTTCCCAGGAGAGCTTGGGGCCAGCAGCTGGGTGGAGCCTAAGGTTGGGGGGAGGGGGCTCCGCTGGAACTCCAGCCTCTGATTCCCTTCCAGAGACTCTCCCAAAACCGTTCATCTGGGCCGAGCCCCATTTCATGGTTCCAAAGGAAAAGCAAGTGACCATCTGTTGCCAGGGAAATTATGGGGCTGTTGAATACCAGCTGCACTTTGAAGGAAGCCTTTTTGCCGTGGACAGACCAAAACCCCCTGAGCGGATTAACAAAGTCCAATTCTACATCCCGGACATGAACTCCCGCATGGCAGGGCAATACAGCTGCATCTATCGGGTTGGGGAGCTCTGGTCAGAGCCCAGCAACTTGCTGGATCTGGTGGTAACAGGTAACTGTCCGGTTCTCTAACTGGAGAGTGATCTCAGTCTGCATCCGGGATGCAGCATCATCTATGAACTCTTCCAAGCCCCACTCAGACACTGCTTGTCTCGGTAGGAGGCTGGAAGGAGGGGTGATCCCCATCACAATCCTTGCCTACAAGGGGTTGTCTGCAGACCGTGTCTCTACGTCCTAGGAGCAGATGTGTCCTCAGTCAGTTTCTCCATGACACAGATTCTGAGATAGATATTTGTATGCAGGGGTATGACTGAGGAATGTCCTCAAAAACAATGCCTGTGGGCCAGGCGCAGTGGCTTACACTTTGCTTCCCTCACCCATCACAGGTGGTGGGTTTTTTTTTTTTTTATCTGTTTTGAGACGGAGTTTCGCTCTTGTCACCCAGGCTGGAGTGCAGTGGTGCAATCTCCAGTCACTGCAACCTCCACCTCCTGGGTTCAAGTGATTCTCCAGCCTCAGCTTCCCAAGTAGCTGGGATCACAGGCACCCACCACTACGCCACATTTTGTATTTTTAGTAGAGATGGGGTTTCACCATGTTGGCCAGGGTGGTGTCGAACTCCTGACCTCAGATGATCCGCCCGCCTCACCCTCCCAAAGTGCTGGGATTACAGGTGTGAGCCATCACACCCAGCCAGGTGGTGGTTTTCTAAAAAAAAAAAAAAATTAGCTTTTTTTTTTTTTTAACAATATGGTTGTTTATTATTATTATCAAGTATTATACATAGTTACATATACATACATAATTGTATGTGCTATACAATTAGGTTTGTTTATACCAGCAACACCAAAAACACATGAGCAATACTTTGTGCTAGGAAGGCTATGATGTCATCAGGCAATAGGAATTTTTCAGTTTCATTATAATCTTATGGGACCACCATCATATATGTGGTACATTGTTGGCCAAAATGTCATTATGCAGCTCACAACAGTATTTCATGTCCATTCAAATATCTTCTTTTGTGAAATGTCTATTTAAATCTTTTGCCTATTTTTAAATTGGGTTGCTTATATTTTGATTGATTAGGAAAAGTTATTTCTATATTCTGTGTCATATACTTGTGTTGAAATATATATATTTTTTGTCTGTGCCTTTTCATTTGCTCAGGGTCTTTGGACCTTGTTTGGAGGTTCTGGCAGGGGAACACAGCTACTCATTTATTCTTTTTTTTTTAATTTTTTTAGTATTTATTGATCATTCTTGGGTGTTTCTCGGAGAGGGGGATTTGGCAGGGTCATAGGACAATAGTGGAGAGAAGGTCAGCAGATAAACATGTGAACAAAGGTCTCTGGCTTTCCTAGGCAGAGGTCCCTGCGGCCTTCCGCAGTGTTTGTGTCCCTGGGTACTTGAGATTAGGGAGTGGTGATGACTCTTAAGGAGCATGCTGCCTTCAAGCATCTGTTTAACAAAGCACATCTTGCACCGCCCTTAATCCATTTAACCCTGAGTGGACACAGCACATGTTTCAGAGAGCACGGGGTTGGGGGTAAGGTCATAGATTAACAGCATCCCAAAGCAGAAGAATTTGTCTTAGTACAGAACAAAATGGAGTCTCCTATGTCTACTTCTTTCTACACAGACACAGTAACAATCTGATCTCTCTTTCTTTTCCCCACATTTCCCCTTTTTCTATTCGACAAAACCGCCATCGTCATCATGGCCCGTTCTCAATGAGCTGTTGGGTACACCTCCCAGACGGGGTGGCGGCCGGGCAGAGGGGCTCCTCACTTCCCAGACGGGGCGGCCGGGCAGAGGCGCCCCCCCACCTCCCAGACGGGGCAGTGGCCGGGCGGGGGCTGCCCCCCAACCTCCCGGACGGGGCGGCTGGCCGGGGCTTTTTTTTTTTTTTTTGAGACAGTCTCGCTGCAGTGCAGTGGTACAATCTCAGCTCACTGCAACCTCTGCCTCAGCCTCAATTCTCCTGCCTCAGCCTCCCAAGTAGTTGAGATTACAGGCATGTGCCACCACACCCGGCTAATTTTTGCATTTTTAGTAGAGACGGGGTTTCACCATGTTGACCAGGCTGGTCTCAAACTCCTGACCCAGGAGGTCGAGGCTTCAGTAAGCAAAGATAGTGCCACGGCGCTCCAGCCTGGGAAACAGAGCAAGACCCTGTATCATTTTTAAAAATGGTTTTAGACGGTAAATCTTCTATTGTGTGTATTTGACCAAAATAATAATTAAAAAAAAAAAAAAAAGCTGGCTGCCAGGCATGGTGGCAGGCCCCTGTAGTCCCAGCTACTTGGGAGGGTGAGGCAGGAGAAACGCTTGAACCCGGGAGGCGGAGGTTGCAGTGAGCCAAGATCGTGTCACTGCACTCCAGCCTGGGCGACAGAGAGAGACTCCATCTCTAAAGAAAGAAAAAAAAAAATAGCTGGCTGCTCATCACTGAGTTTCTGGTGTGGTGGCCCCACCTTCTCTCATAGAAATGTATGACACACCCACCCTCTCGGTTCATCCTGGACCCGAAGTGATCTCGGGAGAGAAGGTGACCTTCTACTGCCGTCTAGACACTGCAACAAGCATGTTCTTACTGCTCAAGGAGGGAAGATCCAGCCACGTACAGCGCGGATACGGGAAGGTCCAGGCGGAGTTCCCCCTGGGCCCTGTGACCACAGCCCACAGAGGGACATACCGATGTTTTGGCTCCTATAACAACCATGCCTGGTCTTTCCCCAGTGAGCCAGTGAAGCTCCTGGTCACAGGTGAGGAAATGCTCAATTCCCCACACCCTTCGCCGCCATGTGCTACCTGGAGCCCTGAGGGATCCCCAGAGAGTGATGGGGAGGGTGTCCAAGGGACGTCCACTTCCTGGGTGCCTGGTTGGTCATGTGAGGAAGAACACCAGAAGCAGGAAGGAGGAGGGAACAGAGAAAGGAATGGTAAGGCGGGTGGATCACAAGGTCAGGAGTTCGAGACCAGCCTGGCCAAGACGGTGAAACCCCGTCTCTACTAAAAATACAGAAATTAGCCAGACGCAGTGGCGGACACCTGTAGTCCCAGCTACTCAGGAGGCTGAGGCAGGAGAATCGCTTGAACCCGGGAGGCGGGGGTTGTAGTGAACCGAGATCATACCACCGCACTGCAACCTGGGCGACAGAGCAAGACTCCATCTCAAAAAAAAAAAAAAAAAAAAAAGAATGGCAAGACCGGAGGAAACCAAAAACCCTTACTTTTTTTTCTTTATCTCCTTTTCCAGGCGACATTGAGAACACCAGCCTTGCACCTGAAGACCCCACCTTTCCTGGTGAGTAACTGGTCCTTCTAAGCTCAGACGAGCGATCAGAGCCTCCCAGTGACACTAAAAACGTGGCATTCATTCAAAATATTCATCGAGGCCAGGCGTGGTGGCTCACGCCTGTAATCCCAGCACTTTGGGAGGCCGAGATGGTGCATCATTTGAGGTCAGGAGTTTGAGACCAGCCTGGCCAACATGGCGAAACCCTGTCTCTACTAAAAATACAAAACTTAGGCTGGGCATCATGGCTCACACCTGTAATCCCAACACTTCGGGAGGCCAAGGTGGTTGGATCACAAGGTCAGGAATTCGAGACCAGCCTGACCAACATGGTGAAACCCCATCTCTACTAAAAATACAAAAATTAGCCGGGCCTGGTGGTGCTCGCCTGTAATCCCAGCTACTCAGGAGGCTGAGGCAGGAGAATTGTTGAACCTGGGATGCAGAGGTTGCAGTGAGCTGAGATCGCGCCACTGCATTCCACTCCACTGCACGACACAGCGAGACTCCATCTCACAGAAAAACAAAAACAAAACTATTATATATATATATTCATCAAGTGCATAGTATACACAGTGAACTACACTGTAACAGTCAGCCAGGCAGATATCTTGACTGTGCAGCACTTAGATTCTAGCAGGAGGAGACACACCATCGGTCAACGTCAGGATAGCACACAGGAGGGAATGATGCTATGGAAGGAAAAGACAAAGTAGAACAGACTTACAGTGATTGAAATGGCAGCTAGCAATATTAAATAGGTTTGTCCAGATGGACCTCACAGAGAAAGAAGGCATCTGAGCAAATGCGTTCAGACTTGAGTTAATCATGTGGCTGTCAGGAGAAAGGAGGCTCTGGAGAGAATGAAATGGCATCTGCCTGTGCCCTGGGGCAGGAAGATAACTGGGGTAATACAATAATAACTATGAGGCCAGGAGGGTTGAAAATGATGTTTGGAAGATGACGGTGGGATGGGCCTGGGGCGCACGGCTAGGATTACAGGAGTGAGGCCCGGCGCGGTGGCTCACGCCTGTAATCCCAGCACTTTGGGAAACCGAGGCAGGTGGATCATGAGGTCAGGAGATCAAGACCATCCTGGCTAACACGGTGAAACCCTGTCTCTACTAAAAAAAAATACAAAAATTATCCGGGCGTGGTGGCGGGCGCCTGTAGTCCCAGCTACGCAAGAGGCTGAGGCAGGAGAATGGCGTGAACCCGGGAGACGGAGCTTGCAGTGAGCTGAGATCGCGCCACTGCACTCCAGCCTGGGCGACAGAGTGAGACTCCGTCTCAAAAAAAAAGAAAAAGAAAAAGAAAAAGAAAAAAAAATAGTGAGACTTTGAATTTCACTATGTGTGAGGAGAAAGAGGTAATGATGACTTAATGAGGAAAATGAGGCTTAAATAGAAGACGGGCTGGGCCGGGTGGCTCCTGCATGTAATCCCAGCACTTTGGAAGGCAGGGGCGGCTGGATCACTTGAGGTCAGGAGTTCAAGACCAGCCTGGCCAACACAGTGAAACCCCATCTCTACTAAAAATACAAACATGAGTTGGGTGTGGTGGCGCACGCCAGTAATTACAGCTACTCGGGGCTGAAGCAAGAGGATTGCTTGAACTCGGGAGGCGGAGGTTGCAGTGAGCTGAGATCACACCACTGTACTCCAGCCTCAGAGGCCTGCCATCCCAGCCCTTTGGGAGGCCGAAGCAGGCAGGTCATCTGAGGTTGGGAGTTCAAGACCAGCCTGGCCAACATGGCAAAACCCCGTTTCTACTAAAAATATGAAAAAAATTACCTGGGTATGTGGTGTGTGCCTGTAGTCCCAGCTACTCCAGAGGCTGGAACACAGTGAGACTCTATCTCAAAAAAAAAAAAAATAGAAGACATGACTGGTGCAAAGACACATGCTCACAAGTGCTAGAATGGAATTC